>NC_000001.11:57432622-57584138 GCF_000001405.40 Homo sapiens
TTGTTAAAGGATTTTGGTTTAGCCATGCCAGAAGCCAACTTCCATTGTTCCCCAGATTTTTCTGTTATATGAGCCAATATGTCCCCTCTATTATTTAAGGTAATTCAAGTTGTTGGATTTCTTTTTCACTTTCAACCAAAATTTCTGTCTAATATACCAGATATGCACTTCCTATATATCATTCAATGTAATATGTAAAGCACTCTAGAAAGATATTTATATTTATACTTGCCTTTGTTCTAAGAAAAACATGAAATTTCATTTTACAAGTTAGAAATAAATTCAGAGAGGTTAAATTATTTACCAAAATTACACAGCTGATCAGATAGTTGAAAAATGAAAACTTAAAATATCATTTATAATAACACAGAAATACATTGAACAAAAGTTGTGCAAGCTTTCTGCACCAAAATTTACAAAACTTTGATGAAAACAACTAAAGAAGATCCAAATAAATGGAGAGACATACAATGTTCATGGTTTGAAAAACATTATTGATTAGATGTCACTTCTCCCAAACTGAAGTATACATTCAGCACAATCCCAATAAAATTCCTAGCACACTTTTTGAAAAAACTGACAAGTAAATTAAAAAATATACATGAGAATGCAAAGGGACTTGGAATAGCCAAAACAATCCTGGGAAAGAAGAACAAAGTTAGAAGGTTTATCCTACCTGATTTCAAGACTTACTAGAAAGCTCTAGTAATCAAAACCTTATGGTAATTGGCAAATGAGACAAAATAGAGAATACAGAAATAGATCAATGCAGTCACTTGATTTTTTTTTGAAAAGTGACAATGCAGTTCATTGAGGAAAGTCTTTAAAATATGGTACTGAAACAACTGCATAAACATATGGGAAAAAATCAGCATGAAGTTCTTCCTCATATGTATATAGAACAAAATATAAAAGCTAAAATGGTAAAAGTTCTGGAAGAGAACCTTGGAAAGTGTCTTCATGATTTAGAGGTATGCACAGGTTTCTTAGAGAGGAGACAAAAATCACTGAACATGAGAAAATGCTGAATTGAACTTTATCACAGTTTAGAATATTTGATGATCAAAGAAAACATTAAGAAAGTTAATGGTAAACCACAAACTTGGGGAAAATATTCACAACACATATATCTGACAAAGGACTTGAATCCAAAAAAATAAAGAAATTCTTCAAATTAATAGTGAAAAGACAATCTAATTAGAATGAACGGAAGACTTTGACAGCTCACCAAAAAAAAAAAAACAAAAAAACTATAAGTAGGTACATGAAGAGATGCTCAATATCACTGATCCAGAGGAATATGCAAAGAAAACTGTAATAAGACACCACTTCACACTCACTAAGATGGCTAAAATTTAAGCATTTGAAACATTAAATAATTAATGAGGATGTGGAGCTTTTTATACAATGCTAGTACAAGTATAAAATGGTATCACCTTTTGGAAAATTACCTGGCACTTTCTTATAAAGTTAAACATCCACCTACTCAGGAGTACTTGTAGGTATTCCACTTTTAGGTATTTACCCAAGAGAAATAAAACATATATACACACATATACTTGAAAATGTATATCCATTTTATTCATAATAGGTCAAAACTGGAAACAATCCAAATGTCTACACACAGCACAATGGATACAAAAATTGTACAATATTAATACAGTGGAATATTATTAAGCAAGAAATAAAATACACTACTGACATATGCAGCAATATGGACAAATCTTCAAAACATTTTGAGTGAAAAAAGACAAGTCAGACCCCAAAGAGGGTATTATTGTGATTCCATCCACATGAGGATCAAGAACAGGCAAAATAAATCTACAAGTGAAAGTTGGAATATTAGTTGCCTCAGTGGAGATAGGTTACCTGGAAAGGGGTAGAAGGAACTTTCTGGGATAATGGAATAAACATATCTTTAATGTAGTGTTGGTTATACAAGCAAATACAGTTTTGTACCGTTTAACGACAGGGATATGCTCTGAGAAATGCGTCATTAGGCAGCTTTGTCATTGTGTGAACATCACAGAGTATACATACACAAACCCAGATGGTATATAGCCTACTACACACCTAGGCTATATGGTATAGCTTATTGATTCTAGGCTACAAACCTGTATGCACGTTACTGTATTGAATACTGTAGGCAATTATAATACAATGGTATTTATGTATCTAAACATACAAAATGTACAGTAAAAATACAATATAAAAGATAAAATATGCTCTACCTATATAGAGCACTTACTATGAATGGAGATTTTAGGACTGGAAATTGCTTGGATGAGTCAGTGAGTAAGTGGCGAGTGAATGTGAAGGCCTACGACATTACTGTGCACTACTGTAGACTTTATAAACATTTTATATGCAGGCTACATTAAATTCATTTTTTAAGCTTGACTCTCTTTTTCTTTTCTTTTTTTCTTTTTTTTTTTTTTTTTTTTGAGAGAGAGTCTCGCTCTGTCACCCAGGCTGGAGCGTAGTGGCATGATCTCGGCTCACTGCAGCCTCTGTCTCCCAGGTTCAAGTGATTCTCCTGTCTCAGCCTCCCAAGTAGCTGGGACTACAGGCACTTGCCACCACGCCCGGTTAATTTTTGTATTTTTAGTAGAGATGGGGTTTTGCAACATTGGACAGGCTGGTCTTGAACTCCTGAGCTCTGGTGATCTGACTGCCTCAGCCTCCCAAGGTGTTGGGATTACAGGCGTGAGCCACCTTGCTCAGCCAAAATTTGACTTCTTAAATAATACATTAATTTAGCTTACTGTAATAACTTTTTTACTTCATAAACTTTTGAATTTTTTTAACTTTTTGGCTCTTGTAATAACACTTAGCTTAAAACATAAACACATTGTAAAGCTGTATAAACATTTTCCTTATCTTCTTAGTCTATAAGCTTTTTTCTATTTTTAAATTTTTAATTTTACTTTTTAAACTTGTTTGTTAAAAACAAAGACACAAACACACATATGAGCCTAGGCCTACACAGGGCCCAGGAGCATCCATATCACTGTCTTCCACCTCCACATCTTGTCCCAGTGGAAGGTCTTCAGGGGCAGTAACATGCATGAGCTGTTATCTCCTATGATAACAATGTCTTCTTCAGGAATGCCTCTTGAAGGGCCTGCCTAAGGCTGTTTTAAAGGTAACTTTTTTATATAAGTAGAAAGAGTACACTTTAAAATAATGATCAGAGTATAATAAATATATAGTCCAGAAACATAGTCATTTATTATAAGCATTAAATATTATGTGCTATACATAAGTGTATGTGCTAGACTTTTTTTTTCTTTCTTTTTTTTTTTTTTTTTTGAGATGGAGTCTCGCTCTGTGGCCCAGGCTGGAGTGCAGTGGTGTGATCTCAGCTTACTGCAACTTCTGCCTCCCGGGTTCAAGCAATTCTCCTGTCTCAGCCTCCTGAGTAGCTGGGACTACAGGCACCCGCCACCAAAGCTGGCTAATTTTTGTAGTTTTAGTAGAGACGGGGTTGCACCGTATTAGTCAGGCTGGTCTCGAACTCCTGACCTCAGGTGATCCAACCTCCTCGGCCTCCCAAAGTGTTGGGATTACAGGCGTGAGCCACCATGCCCGGCTGTGCTAGACTTTTATACGACGGACAGCTAGCTCAGTAAGTTTGTTTACACCAGGATCACCACAGACATGTGAGTATGCATTGCAGCACCACATTATAACAAGAGACATTTTTCAGCTCCGTTACAATCTTATAGGACCATCATCATATGACGGATCAAACTACTCTTAAGAGCTGCGCGTTTCAATATGTCTATTTTGCCTTAATTTTCAATTATTTCAAAAGAGCAGGCACAGACAAAGTGGGGCAGCTAACCAGCCCCTACAACCCTTGTGGGCACTATTCTATGATCGCTCACCCCAGACACTTGTGCTAATAGTGCAAGTCCTGAATAAAATGTTATACCCGTAATATAAACAAGATGTTCTGTGTTGTGCATGACACTGCCAAAGCAATGAATGTCTAACAAGTACCCTTTAAATTCCATTAATGCGAGAATGGTTACACCAAGATGGATGCACCCTCTACAAAATGGAGACATTGTCCATTGATGAAGTGGATGCCACCAGAAGGTAAAGAATTTCCTGGCATAGGCTGGGTGCGGTGGCTCACGCCTGTAATCCCAGCACTTTGGGAGGCCGAGGCAGGCAGATCATGAGGTCAGAAGATCAAGACCATCCTGGCTAACATGGTGAACCCCGTCTCTACTAAAAAATACAAAAAATTACCCGGATGTGGTGGCGGCTGCCTGTAGTCCCAGCTACTTGGGAGGCTGAGGCAGGAGAATGGTGTGAACCTGGGAGGCGGAGCTTGCAGTGAGCCTAGATCACACCACTGCACTCCAGCACTCCAGCTTGGGTGACAGAGCAAGACTCCGTCTCAAAAAAAAAAAAAAAAAAGAATTTCCTGGCACAGGAGTTAATGAAAAGATGTTGGATGATGGTTTGGCAGGAATTTGATAGAGAAATGCAAGCTTCAGATGGTGAAAGTGAATGGGGAAAGGGTAAGACTTTCAACTTCTTCCAAACCTTGATATTCTGTAATTCCTGGAAGAGTTCTTGTCCACAAGCTGTGAAACCAGAGTCAAATTTCAAATAATTCTCTTCCCTTCTGTCCCAAAGGCCAATGAAGAGGTCACAACTCTATACCAGAAGGTATAGGGCTACATGATTGAATTCACAGAAAAACCTCACAAGGGAAAAGTCACCACTCTTCCCTTGAAACACAGTGATGCAAATCACACTTTATAAAATATTTTTAAAATAAAAAAGAATGTAATTGCTCATTGAATTGTAATATGAATGCAAATTAACTTACTGTAATTATACTGTGCAATTTTCTACTTTAAAAACTTAGAAAATGGAAGAGACCTGATAAGTAATTTGAACTGTAATTCTTCATTGTGTTCCTTCATTATGCAATGGTTACCATAAGCAATTTGATGTTTTAATGTAAAATGTTTTTAGTTCATACCTTTACATGGGCAGAACTCAAATGAGACCATTCAATACATACAGATACCCATTCCCCCCAGCCCCCACAAGTGCACTGTAAAAATAATCATGATAAAATTAATATAGCACAAGGGAATTTGTGAAGGATTCTTAATATATTTTCATTTTGGAACCGTTATCACATTAAATGTCTCTCTATCCATGCCCCCAGTATGTTTTTAACAATCAAGGAGTTCCTAACCAAACAGGAGTCAGATGATCACATTCATGGTTTCATGGCAAGACTCTGGCATAGAAGTAAAGAAAATGGGCTCCAGCCCCCGCTCTGCCTCTGCCACTAATTAATTGTGTGACCTTCCTTGTTCTGGCCCTCATTTCCCTCATCTGTAAATTATAAGGTTGGGCTAGGTGGTTTCCAGCTTCCATCCCAGCCCTTACAGATTGCTCTGTAGCCACTCTCTGCTTTGCATTGTTTAAGCAACATGAGTGACAGGAAATGAATTTCTTATTTAGAATTAATGACCGTCTGAATGAGGCACAAGCCCTTTAGTTCAGTCAGTCATTCTTTGCTAAAGAATGTCTAACACAAAGATCATCTGAGATGATGCAAATGTAAAAAAAAAAAAATTACCTGTTTTCCTGCTAATAATAATTTGCATGTGTAGTTCCCTCAGTGTGATTCCTGTTAAATGCAAGGCGTTCATACTGAGAGCTAGGGATCTCATTAAGTGTACAGTACAGTGAAAATAGGGTGGGTAAGGCTTGGACTCACAAGATAGTGGTTTGTTTTTTTTTCCTATGGCCAATAACCATACTGAGCCTCAGGAACTTCATCTTCCTTGGGTGCTGTGGGGGCTAAAACTATAATGAACAAAAGAGCATCTGGTCACTCATATTTGCAAATGTCTGACTTATTCCTCTCAATAACACCATGAAGTAAGTGCCACTATTATCTCTATTTTCCAGCAAAATAAAGAAGGAGGAGGAGGAGGAAGAGGAGGAGGAGAATTAAATAACTTGCTCAGGGTCACAGCCCATGACATCTGTCTGTCCTGTCTATCCAAAGGGATAGTAACATCCCTTTATCTTCTGGAGTCCCATGATAATACATTTAGTTCTTTTTTTTCACATGATGTATATGATCTTAGGGAACTATTTCCATCTTTGTGGAACTAACAGTACTATGAACCTCCATTTCCTCAGCTGTGAAAGGGAAATAAAAGTACCTATATTTTTGCATAGCATACTCTTCAGTTGCCTCTTACTTTAGCATTCATCCTACTCATCTCTACCTCATTTCCTCCTTCCTGAAAAATCTCAATTCCCATTTGGGGAAGTATGTGATTTCTCAGAGGTTGACTCCACTCTCAGCTCTGGGTTGGAGCATGTGACCCAAGCTAAGTCAGTCAACACATTCCATCTCCTTAGCCAGAGTGGTTGATTCAAGGGTGGGTAGAGAACTTACCGTTGTCTAACTAGACCGAGTCTCAGTGCTTCTGCAGAAATACTGAGGTGAAAATGCCCTCTTTGCCAGATTTGAAGGGGGAAGAATGTAAATAGTATGTAGCCCAGAAAGCAACAGCTTAGTCTCCTAAAGGAAACAGGCCTTAGGATAAAGCTGACCCCAAGGAGATCAACACAGAGAAACCAAAAGAAATCAAATCCCTATCACATCACCAAGTCATTGCCTAAAGCCAACATTACCTTAACAATAATTTGAACAAATATATCCCTTTTACTATTTAAGCCAGCATTAGTTGCAGTTTTTCTTACTCTCTACCAAAGCCATGCCATCAACTTGGTGATGAGGTTTTTTCTTTTTTTTTTTTTTTTTTTTTTGAGACGGAGTCTCCTCTGTAGCCCAGGCTGGAGTGCAGTGGCGTGATCTAGGCTCACTGCAAGCTCCACCTCCCGAGTTCATGCCATTCTCCTGCCTCAGCCTCCCGAGTAGCTGGGACTACAGGCGCCCGCCACCGCGCCCGGCTAATTTTTTGTATTTTTAGTAGAGACGGGGTTCACCATGTTAGCCAGGATGGTCTTGATCTTCTGACCTCATGATCTGCCTGCCTCGGCCTCCCAAAGTGCTGGGATTACAGGCGTGAGCCACCGCACCCGGCCAGTGATGAGGTTTTAAAGATGTAATGAAGTTGTGAATGAGAAACAGTAAAAAGCTACACATGAATAAGATTTAATACTTGTGATTATGATAACAATGACAATGATGATAGAAGTGAAGGAGGAAATTAGTGCCTTTCAATAAACATGGTACTGGAATTTCATGTGGATCAGAAGTTTCCTTCAGTGGAAAACAAAATTAGTTCCCTCCTCCATGTTTCCCCAATTCATCTTATGATGTTCTTCCAAAAACATACTATTATATGCCCCTGATAATACCATACCAGATAATGGATTTCTTCCTGACTTCACCTTCTACTTGTTTGCCTCCATTACTTTGCTCATACTGTTTCCTCCTCTAGGCTTTTTCTTGCCTATTCTCATTTTTTGAAATTCTTCTCAACCTGCAAAACCTGGCTGAATGAAACCTTCTCTGACCATTCTTTCTTCTTTGATTCCTTTCTGTATTTTACCTACTTCTAATCTTGATCCCTGCCATGTGTTGGAGCCATTTTCACATGTCTGGATCCCCCACTGAGATTGTAATCTCTTAGAGTAGATGCTAAGCTGCTTATAAACTGCAGAGAGAAAGAGCTGCATACAACATCTGCCACTGCACTAATGTTCAGGGTGATTCAGCCAATGTGGTCCTAATTCCACCTTGAACAGTCATCCATCAAAGGCATATAAGGAGCACCTTTCGAAGAGATGGGAACTTCTTACATTCAGGGATACCCAGACAGTAATCCAGCCAGGGCTTGTGAAGAAAGACAGGTAAGTGGTGACTGAGCAAAGAGGAAAGGAAGGAAGAAAGAAAGGAGAGAGGGAAGGAAGAAAGGAGGGAGGGAGGGAGGAAGGAAGAATGGAAAAGAGGATTGTGGTTTAGGGGATGTTACCAAAGGATGCTAAAGGCAAAACCGTTCATAGCTCTTGTCTGCCTTCTTATATTTAGGGTGAAAAGACATGGTCAGAGTGCCTGTTAGGCATTGCTGTTCTCCAGGGAATATCCACAGGGTAATCAGAAGTCCAGAGTCTCTTCTGTATGTGTTCCAGTTAGTTGTATTATTGTATGTTTATAAATATAAAATAAAACATGAATAATAATTGAGTATACTATTTGAAATTAGAGTTTCATTTGTTTTTTTATAATCTGATATTTTATTTTAGATACAGGAGTTACATGTGCAGGTTTGTTACGTGGGTGTACAGCATGATGCTGAGGTTTGGGGTAGAGATCCTGTCATCCAGAGAGTGAGCATAGGACCCAATAAGTGGCTTATTAACCCACACTTCCCTCCTAGCCTCCTTCCTCTAGTAGTCCACAGTGTCTATTGTTCCCATAAAGACAAAAAAAAATAGACATTGTTTAGCTCCCACTTATAAGTGAGAACAAGTGATATTTGGTTTTCTGTTCCTGTGTTAACTTGCCTAGAAATGCAGTCTCTTGATGCATCCATGTGACTGCAAAGGACACAATTTCATTCTTTTTATGTGCATAGTATTTTATGCACAGGTACAATCTTTTCTTTTCTTTTCTTTTCTTTCTTTCTCTTTCTTTCTTTCTTTCTTTCTTTCTTTCTTTCTTTCTTTCTTTCTTCTTTCCTCCTTCTTCTTTCTTTCTTTCTTTTTTTCTTTCTTCTTTCTTTTTTTTTGAGGCAGGGTTCTCACTTTGGAGAGGCTGGAGTGTACTGACCTGAACATAGCTCATTGCACTCTCAACCTCCCAGGCTCAAGCGATCCTGCCACTCAGCCCACCAAGTAGCTGGGACTACAGGCACACACCACCACACCTGCCTAATTTTTGTATTTTTGTAGAGACGGGGCTTTTCCATGTTGTCCAGGCTGGTCTCGAACTCCTGAGCTTAAGCAATCTGCCTGCCACAGCCTCCCAAAGTGCTGAGATTACAGGCGTGAGTCACCATGTGCAGCCACCATCTATTTTCTTTATCCAGTCCACCATTGATGGGCACCTAGTTTGATTCCATGTCTTTGCTATTGTGATTGTGACTATAATAGTGATGAGCATATGAGTGCAGGTGTCTTTTTGGTAGAACAATTTATTTTCTTTTGGGTATATACCCAGTAATGGGATTGCTGGGCCAAATGGTAGCTCTCTTTTAAGTTCTTGAGAAATCTCCAACTGCTTTCCTCAGTGGCTGAACTAACTTATATTCCCAATAGTGTATAAGTGTTCCCTTTACTCCACAGCCTTGCCAGCATCTGTTATTGTTGCACTTTTTAATAATAGCTATCTGACTGGTGTGAGATGGTACCTTATTGAATGGCTTTGATTTGCATATCTCTAATGATTAGTGATGAGCGTTTTTCATATATTTGTTGTATAGGCTCATTTCTAATCTTAGTTCTGACACTGTGAAGGTGTGAATTTGGTTAAGTTCCTCAATTCTCAGCTGCACTTATCTGAGATAATAATGGGGATAATGATAGTTGTAAAATGGGGTTAATAGTAGCTGATTCCAGTGTCTGTTTTAATTGTTAAATAAAATAATATTTGTAAAAGTGTCATACTACTTGGTATATGGTAATGTAATAAATCAGTAGCTGTCAGCAGTAGAGGTCAAAGTAGTAATCATTAATTTGGATATGGATTTCTCTCTTTGATTCAATCAGCTGTCTCTAGAAAAGCAAGCCTTGGGATAACAAGCACACCATATTCCAGAGTAAAGCCATGAAAGAATTTGGCAACACTGCTGACAATCCTGGTATTCAAACTTCCTAAAATAGTGACCTTGGCCATGCCAGATAAGCATTAAGACATTGGTACTTATTGTATTTGAGTGAGAATTTTTTTTTTTTTACAACCAATAGTCACTAATCATAAAATTTCCTGTGTTTGCAAACATTTACTTGGTTGGCATATTATAGAAGATCTGTTTCAAGGTTATTCCTATGAAAATGTTACTCTCATCCTTTTGTGTTTTCATATTATGTTTTCCGGAGAGAGAAAGGGTGGAAAGACACAGCTGGGATGCCCAGAAGAGTCAATGTCCCTGGGCATTCCCCATGGAGGAGTGCCGCCCCTGCGAGTGTCATTTGCCACATGTGTATCAATGGAAACTATTTTAGAAGCTGCCTATGCAGGTGATTGGAAACTGTCAAAGGATTTTGAACATTTGGGGGATAGGGTCAAATTTTTGTAGTAGATACATCATTCTGATAGCAGAAGGAAGGTTGGATAATGTGTCCTACCCACCCTTACTTCAGGCATTTCCTTCTACTCTTTCTCCCATTATCTGCTACAGCACTCTCCTACCCCACCAGCACTTCTCTCAACCCTGAACAAAGAGCCTGAAATCTTGGGTGTTCATTTTAAAATACAATTAAACAAGTCTATCATGGGTACATAATGTTTCTTCCAGAAATAAATTAACATAGCCTGCCAAATTCTAAAAGAGGACACTTAATCATTGGGAACCTTCCATATCTGGACTTACTCCATCAATCACAATGCTTATGCAGTTTAGGGATACATGACTCTGTAGTTCCTGGTTGTGTGCCAGTTCACATGTGTTTGTAGTAGGAAGCCCCAGGTTATAGGAGGGATTGAGATAGTATTATGACCAAAGGACCATGAGAAACAAAGGATTATGAGAAACAGAGGGCCATCTAAAAGAGATGTTGCTGGAAACACATTCATGTGCCATGTCTCTTCAAGGTTTCTCCTTGCTCCCTGAACATACCATGCACTTTCATATCTCTGGATGTTTTTCCTTATGCCTCTTCATCTTCATGAAATGACCTTCCTTACTACTTTACCTAACATTCTTCAAAGCCCAACTTAAATGTAGCTTCTTTGGCACTCTACCAACCTACTCCAACTCTGTTCCAGGCACTATTACTTGCCCTCTCTCATCTGTATCACTTAGTTATTATTAATCCCCATATTATGAGCACACTTGTTAAATGCCTGGCCTCCAACAGACTAGAACGCATCCTTGAAGCTTCCCTCTGCTTCATTCCCCTATAGCCAGTCCTTGGGAATTCCTACCTCCAACATGGAACTCCAACATATAACTCAAAGCAGTTCACCTCCATCATCTCTTCTGCCATGAACCTGGACCAAGCCATAGCCATCTCTTGCTGAGTACTTCCTTCTCCCTGTTTGCACTCTTGCTTCTCTATAACATGTGTTCCAAATATTAGTCACAGTAGCAGTTTAGAAACGTAATTTAGACCCTGATGATAACGTGTTGAAAACACATCAAAGGCTCCTCACTGCACTTGGGTTTTTAAAATCTTGATGAAGTCTTTCCAGGCCTTCTATCATCTGCCCCATCATCAGCTTACTCCATGTGCCCCCTGTTCCCTAGACCCCAGCTACAGTGGCTCTCATTTACTTCAGCAGGGTTCCCACCTCAAGGTCCTGGAAACAATGTTCTGTTTGCTTGGAATAGTCTCCCCCATCCCTCCAATGGCTTCTCCCCAGGCACCTACTCTTATAAACTCTTGATGTTCCTCTTTAACATCACTTATTCAGAGAGGTCTGACCTGACCCCCATCCTTAGCAAGGTCCCTTTATTATAATAATTCAAAATATTCTGTCATTTCCCTTAATAGATCTAAATAGAATTTATAGCTATATGTTTATTACTATATAAAAAGAATGATTAAATTTTACAGTTATGTCTTGGCTTAATGTCTATTTCCCCCAATAGATTATAAGCTTCATCAGGGCAAAAGAATGTTTTCATCTGCTTGTTATTTTTGTGTTTGTTTGGTCACTATAGTGGGTTGAATATATTGACTATGTCCTAATCCCTGGAATCAGTGACTGTTACCTTAATTGGGAAAAAAGAATCTTTGCAAATCTAATTAAGTTAGGATCATGAGATGAGGAGATGATCCTGGATTATATAGGTGAGCCCTAAATCCAATCACAAGTGTCCTTGAAGACACACACACAAGAAACAGAGAGAAGAGGAAGAGGTAATGTGACTGCAGAGGCAGAAAGTGGAGTCGTATGGCCACAAACCAAGGAACACCTGCAGCCACCAGAAGCCAGAAGAGGCAAGGAATAATTCTCCCGTAGAGCTTTCAGAAGGAGCATAGGGATGTCAGCCCCTTGATTTCAGAATTCTGTCCTGCAAAACTATGAGAGAACACGTCTGTAGATTTAAGTCACCGTGTTTGTGGTAGTTTATTACAGCAGCCCTAGGAAACTAATACTGTCATCTATATATTCCTAGGGCTGGTCAGTTAATATGTTGAATGAATGAACAAATGAATGAGTGTTCATCGACGAAAAGTTGTATACATTCATCATTATATAGAACTCACCACAGTGAATACAAAACAGTTGGTGCTCAAATTATTTATTAACTTATACTGAAATGGGACTTATTTTACAAAAATAAGCATTTAAAAATGTTATGGGTATAAAATATTTTTAGAGTTTTATTAACTTCTTATACTGAAAATTATTTATCATTTATTTATTATTATTTATTAACATACTGAAATGGGACTCATCTTACAAAAATAAGCATTTAAAAATGTTATGGGTATATAATATTTTTAGAGCATACATATATATGCAGAAGCAACTTAAAGATGAAACTAGGTAAATTCCTACTTTTAAAAGTGAAAATAGTAGAACTGAGAAGGGTTATCTGACTAGCCCAAGGTCACACAGCAAGCTCAGGCTGAGGAAATTGTATTTACTTATATAGTTCCCATACCAGCATCTACTATGGTATCTTCCCTAAGTACAATCCCATCATTCTAATTAGAATCATTTGGTACATTGCTACTATCTGTAAAGACCCCAGCATTCATTATCACTAAACTAGTTAGTGTGTGTAGGTATGCACTGATAATGTAATAAATATTGAGCCAAATCCCAAGAATTGTAAGATAAAAAATTTTATCCATTCGAATTCCAAGGACTCCAAGAGAGAATATCGACATTAGATAGACATTTACTATACTACATTTTACTTGATTTAATTATGATTTCATTTCTGATGTTCAAATATTTAAGCAGCTTATCAGGCATTATCTCTTCATTTAAGAATTCACCCAAAATATATTAAAACGCATAGAATAAACCAACTCATTTCAGAACTAACCTTTCCCACTTAATTTCTGACTTAGGGATAACTCCACTTGAGGACTTTCTGATGATTCTGGTATAGGTTTAATGCTTTCTTACATAATGGTACATAATGAAAAAAAACTGCATCTATTTCTATCAGTACAAAAGGAGTATTCTGAATCAGTCTTTCCTTCTTCTTTCTCTGTGTGGGAATGGGCAGTGTAGCTCTGGGAATCAGATTATCTGTATTTATTTCACCCATCCAATTTTATGATTTCAGGTAAGTAACTTGACCAGTTTGTCACTCACTTATCTACCTATACAGCCATTCGAGTGTGAATTTAATAAGCATTTATTCCAACCTACATCATCTGATTATAAAACTCAGGTTCTTTTTTGTCATTATGTCCTTAATAGTTCCATCTTCACTGTAGATACACCATTAATCCATGTTAATAGTTGTCTATAAAATAAACTGTATGATGATTGCTAGAATTTGGCATATTTTTTGAAGTTGTTACATATGACTAAATTTTAGGCCAGGCGTGGTGGCTCATGCCTGTAATCCCAGCACTTTGGGAGGCTGAGGTGGGCAGATCACCTGAGGTCGGGAGTTCGAGACCAGCCTCACCCACACGGAGAAACTCCATCTCTACTAAAAATAAAAAATTAGCCGGGCTTGGTGGCACATGCCTATAATCCCAGCTACTTGGGAAGGCTGAGGCGGGAGAATCGCTTGAACCTGGGAGGTGGAGGTTGCAGTGAGCCGAGATCGCGCCATTGCACTCCAGCCTGAGCAACAAGAGCAAAACTCCGTTGCAAAAAAAAAAAAAAAAAATTTAGAGAATCCAGTTTTAGCTGGAGGAACCCAGAAGTTTGTTTAGTCACATTCCCACCTGCACAGTGATTCTTTTTTTAAAAATTTATTGTATGATTATATTTATATGAAATATCTGGAATTGGTAAATCTGTAGAGCATAAGGTAGATTAGTGGTTTCCTGGAGTTTGGCAGGAAGGAGAACAAGGGAGTACCTGTGTTTGTTTCTCTTGGGGATGAAAAAATGCACATTGATTCTTAATTACTCACATCCTATGTAAGCTTATCCATTATATCCTTAAGTATCCTTGGGACTGGAGCCTTCAAAATATCCCTTAGAATCTATTTCTCTGAACAACTAGTTCTGGTTTTATTCATAAAATCCATATTTTTATCAGTCATATGTTCACTGATCAAAAAACTTTCCCAAGCACCTTCCATGTGAATCACACACTGTGCTAGGCACTGATAATAAAGGAATGAAATACTAGTTCTCTTCCAAAGTAACTCACAGAATAATGGAAGATAACAGATAGGTTTTGCAAAATAATGCCCTGAGTCCTATAATAGAGATGGCCACTGAGTGCTTTACATACCCGCTCCTCAAAGAGACACATTTGGGATGGGAGAGTGATCTGCAAGTCTTCAAAAGAAGGAGCCTCTGTGAGTCTATGAGGACAAAGCTCTCTTAGTGACTGGCCCATTGGACTTCTTCACTGCTCAAAGGATCCCTCCAACTAATTCCTTTCCAGTAACTCTGATCACCCTCTTAAGATTCTTAAAGAACTTCTAAAGAGAGAGATCCTTGTGCAGACTTATCTCTCTCTGGGCAGCTGTGTGGCTACTGCCCACATGAGATAGAAACATGGTACCTTTATTTCTGCTCACATTTGCACTCTCTTACTCCCTCAATATACTTCATTAGTTTTTAGAGGAAGATTTACTCCTTCTGTGGGCTTTATTTTCAGAAAGGTCAATGAAGATCCAAATTCCCAGAGAAAAATATTATATGATGGTTACACACTGCAAAACCCAAATCTGATTATACCATGCCTTTGTTTCAAATCGTATAATGGCGCCCTAGTGCCTACAAAAGAAAATGCAGTCTCCTTGACCTGCGTAGAGGCCCTCTGTGGTGAGTCTTACCCAGCCTGCAGCAGCATCTCTTATCAAGATCCCCTCACCCATCAGCAGCCAGCCAGGCAGGACTCCTTTAGGTTGTGGTCAGAGAGGAGTCATTGAAAGGCTCCTGGTGGAGAGGTGCTAAGATTTGGTCTACATTTTAGGATTCTTGTTCTACATTCCCTGAATGAAGCAATGATGGCAGGAAAGTCTATGCATAACTCAATTTGCCTCCTCAAAATCATCCTGGAATGAGGCAGGCAAATAAATAAATTAATAAATAGGGAACAAATTGTTCCTATAACCCGTCCCTAAAAACATAATTGCAAAGGATCCCCACTGTATTTACGATTGCTTCTGGGAAAATGTCAAGCTGAAGGATTGTAGGCAGCCTCCTTGAGTCACCCTAGTGACAATCATTAAGTATTCTTAGATAATTAGGAATCTTGACAAATCCTAAATTTCCCAATAACCTAATAGTTTGTAGAAATAGCACGCTATATGTCCCAGGCAGTCTAAATAGGTGCACAAGGGTACATATGTGAAGTATTATAAGTGCTCAGTTGTCATATTTTTCCACACCCATTTATGAAACATGCTTTGAAATTAGATTTTGAATTCATCTCTGTCCTTTGTGATGAAATAAAATACAAAACATTGAAAAAGTTAAACCAGTTAAGCAACAACACAAACTACTCTTCCCTACTAGGCAATAATCTAGTTAGATGGAAAAAACCCTTCAGCAATTTGGAGAGTTATATTCAAAATAATTCCCTCTGTAACTAACAACACTTGATTGTTAAATTATTATATTGAACAAATAATCACAAGATTTGTCACCTTTGATGGATTTATTAATTCAATAAATATTTGTTATGCATCTGTTACACTCAACAAAGAATAAATTCTTGATCAAGACATTGTACTTGCTTTCAAGAAGTGGAGTAGGTCTATTTATTTTGAAGTCTTACTGGCATGAAATAAAAACCAATATAGGACACGATTTGATCTGTCCTCCTTCACAATAGCAAGTGTAGCAAATAGCAATTCTGACACACACACACACACACACACACACAGATGCACACACAAACACACACACTGGTAACACTGATTAAGAATAAGCCTTACACTGTTATTGACCTCAGTCCTAAATTACTTAACTTCATTGATTTTATGCTCCAAATGTTGGTTACATGTTCATTTTCCCAAATCTAACCCCAAGGCTCATTTTCCCATGGTCACACTTTCTTCTCTGTGCTCGACTTTGGACTTGGATTTTGATTCCTCCTGAAATACAGCATTTCCATTTGTCTTGAGTAAACACTCACCCCATCTCATCTGGAGTTTAAAGGCTATGACCGAGTATCAGGAGAAGAGGCACAACTTGCCCCTGCCCGTTGTTATAAAATGACCCCATCTAACAGCCCAACATAATGATCCCACACTTCAAAGGAGAAATGTGTAAATCTAAGAAATATGATAGAACATGAAACGTAAGTCAAGGTTCTACTTGTTCTGTGACATTATAAAAACATGCAAATATGACATTGAAATAGTGACAAAAAACAAAGAAACTCTGGGTGTGTTGCCTTATAAAGAACCATATTGTCACCACATCAGTGGAGTCTCTGACCCCTTCTTTTATCATTTTAGTGTCTATCTGCTTTTTTTTTTTTTTTGACGTGGTCTTGCTCTGTCACCCAGGCTAGAGTGCAGTGGTGTGATCACAGCTCACATACAGCCTCAAACTCTAGGGCTTAAGAGATCCTCTTGACTCAGACTCCTAAGTAGGTGGTACTACAGGTGCACTCTGCTACACTTGGCTAATTTTTATTTTTTGTAGAGATGGGGTCTTGTTATGTTGCCCAGGCTGGTCTCAAACTCCTGGCCTCAAGAAATCCTCCTGCCTGGGCCTCCCAAAATGCCAGGATTATAAGTGTAAGCTGCCATGTCCAGCCATTTTAATCTCTTTTTTACCTAATTTCATAAGTGACTCCCAGGCAGATGGTCAATTATTTTGGTATCTTTAGACATTATTTTCCAATCCTACCAAAGGCTGGAAAACTCTTTAGAATATGTCATTTTGTGTCTATTATCTTTATCCAGTTTATGAAAATGTGACATATTTGACATCACTTGCTGTATTTGTTAGGTTAGTTTTATTGATTCTAGAATTGTTTAGAGCATTAACTATATAGCAGGCTCTGTATCCAGCCACTGGTGATATAATAGCTAACAAGACAGCTATGAGCCCATCCTTTAGAAAGCTTACTATCTTGTGTAAAGGACATTTTATATATTAGGCTCATAGATGTACACCAGGTTATTTTTCACTAGAAGCTTTTAGAAAACATCCCTTATCCAAAACTGTTAAAGCTATTTATGCTTCTGAAATCCTTTCTGTAAGGCACAAAGCCTTGCTATTATTGAACTGGAAGATAGTGATTGAAATGTAAAAGACTATGGTAGAGAGACCACCTTGGCTTAAATTCACACTAAAGTGTAAACGACTGACACTTGATATTATTTTACGAATAGAATTCTTGATGGCAGAGGGGCAAAGAAGAGGGTACACTGGACTGTGAATTCAAGGAATCATGGTGAAGAGAAACTTGGTGTTACGAGAAGAGAAATAGCTTTCCAAATAATTTAGCTTATGATCAGTCCTTTGCGATATTTTTTGCTGAAAAAAAATATTCTGGAATCAGAATTCTGGTTTCTTCTTTAGGCTCTACAACTTTACTATGTAGCTCTGAATATGTCAACTAGCCTCTTAAAGAGAGATTGAAATTATGTGTTTATTAAAAGGAGGACAAATTCTGTCCTACTATGTCACAGATTTGTTTCAATGTCAGTATTGCTCACAGGCTATACAAATGTAAGGTGTTAATGAGGCAGGCCCACTTTTATACCATCATGGACATCTCGAATTATCTTCAAAACATGAATAAAACATGTGCAGTCTGGGGTGCTAATTTACAGTTAATTATAAACACATAAACCTTCTTTGTTGATCCAATTTCAAATGTGCTAATTTCACTCTTTTAAAACAATGAACTTCAACTTACTTAAAGTCATGCTTTCAGATTACAATGAACTGACCATTCCTGTATGTCCATCAAAAGAATTATTGTGTCACAGAGCTTATCTCACACTTTTGAAATAAATGTGTTCCAGTAGGATTGGCTGGTTTCTGTTATCTAATCGTCTCACAGTTAACATGTGCAATAGACATTTCACTTAAAACGTCTTTCTTTTATGCTCTTAAAACAATTGTTTTCTGGAAAAGGTTGTTTCTTCTTTCGTATCAGCCAGATTTAATCGCAGGTCATGAAACTCAATGGACTTGTTAAATCCTTCCTGCCAGCATTCCTTACAGGTCTATTCCTTGCCCTGGATGGGCCACCTGATTCTTGGCCCCAGATTCCACCAGGACCACCAGCTTTGACACACCCCTGCATTTGTCTTACTTTGGCAACCCCCTGCTTGCCCTCTTGTCTTTAGCTCCGGGAGTCCTTGCTGAGAGGTTAGCCTACTGAGGTTCAAAGACATTAAGCCTCTGCCCACAGACACATGGACAAGGTCAACCTTTAAGATTTGAACTTAAGTTTCTAAGGCACCAAAGTCCATGTTTGTTCTATCACATCCTGCTGGTTTATAGAGTGTCCGATTTCTGCATAGTGAGAATCTTTTTTAGTGGGAGATACCTGGGTTATAGTATTTTATTTTTTAAAATTACCTGTGTTAAAATATGTTTTGTGATGTGTAGGACAAAGAAGGCTATTTAAATTGAAATCATTTTCCTTGTATCCGAGATCTCTAAATCTCATGCACATTAAGTTTGAATTAACATTAACAAGGGTCTAACAGCTTTGATGCTGTGTTCTTAGATAATTAAATTCTTAGAAAATCATTCCACATTTGAGGGAGAAGCGAAGGACGCAGAGAGTTCAGTCTTAATTCAAAGTCGCTTATACATTGTTACCTGCTGTTTCCAGGCTTTCATGGAATCAGCAGGGAGGATTTGATATTAAAAATCAGGTTTTTTCTCTCTTTTTGCGGGGAGAGGGTGAAAATCCTTGTAGGGGGAGTGGAATTATTAACTGGAACTCTTTCTGAGCTATCACTTTACCTTGGCATCTCATCATGTGCTGGAAGATCCAGTCTGTTTTGCAGGCTAAAGCTGAGGCTTGTACCAGTAAGGTTCCTTTATAACCTTATTACACAAAGTGCTTTATAATTTACAAAGCCACTTTTTCATTCATTATTGCACGTGACCCTCATAGCCACCTCAGGAAGTTTGAAAGACGGCATATTCTTCCAGAGTATCATCCCAAGAGAGACTGACCAGCTGTCCATAGGCCCCATGAGATGGTACTTACCTTGAATAAATCATCCTAAGCTATTATTTAGAGCTTAGGATTTAGTCTCTCTCTGCACCCCCCCTTTTTTTTTTTTTTTTTTTTTGACATGGTCTTGCTCTCTCACCCAGGCTGGAGTGCAGTGGTGTGATAATATCTGACCTGAGACTTAAAGTCATAAAATTAATCTTCTCCTGTCTTAAAAGTGAGTGGGCTTGGAATATTGACTCATAGTAACAAACCTCACAAGAGACTGATGAATATACTTGAATTCTAGCTTACTCTTTAGGATGAGAAATAAAATGGTCAGTGGGCATTAATGGTTAAAAGCAGCATGACCAGGACATTTTTTTCCAGGACAGACAAGTTATCAAAATGAGAAAGCTGAGGCTTAGAAAGATGAAATAACTTGCCCTAAGTCACCCAGTTGGGAAATGAAAACAACCTGAACGTTTTATCTCTGCCCCAGGGATAGAACTGCCACCAGGATGAAACTGAAGTGGTAGTGGTGCTGGTGATGGTGGTGGGGGGCGCGGGGTGGTCCTTAGACTAATCTCCTCTCCTGGTCCTGTTCTTAGACTCTTATTATCCTATGTGCCAGGCTCCACTAGTACATTTGGAACAGTTCATTCCATTTCTGCAGAAAATGAAAAATTTAAAGGATATTACAATAGCATCTTGCAAATAGAGACCTTATCTGCCTTGTTCTAAACACCATTGTATTTTCAGCACCTGGCCCAAAGTAGGCACTCAGTAGATGTGGGAAGAAGGAAGAAAAGGAGGAAGGAAAGAAGAGAGAAAGAGGGAGGGAGGAAGAGAGGAAGGGAAAAATAAAGAAAGGAATGAAGGAAAAAAGAAAAAAGGAAGGGAGGAAGACAGAAAGGAAGAAAAGGCAGAGTGAAAAGGAAGAAAGAAAAGAAAAAAGAAGGAGGGAGGGAAGGAGAGAAGGAAGAATATTGTAGAAGTAAACTGGTAAAATTTAGGAGCTGATTACATGGGAAAGGGGTAGAAAGAAGGGAGAGAAACTAAGAAGATACAGACATGGATCAAGAATCTTATTGTCTGAGAGATGAAAGTTATGTCTGTGAATATTTATCATCATTTTACAGAGTGTATTTTCTTAATAAATGAGAAAGAGCTCCAATTACTTTTCTATTCCAAAGTTTATATTCAGTTCCACCACTCGAATTACAAGCACGGAAAAGATTTAACCATATATGCAATTTCTGTATTCATGTATGAGAAAACCTGCTGAAGTGCTTTTAAATAAGACTCAAGAAAATGCTTCTGGCCAATAAGCCATTTAAAAAATGTATTCTGGTTAGTTGGAGAAACATCCATGTGCTCATATTTTGGAGTTAAAGGAGCCCCATACTGTTTTACTGAAACTTGTTCTTCAGTATATTATCAGAAAGCATGATGCAATTCTGTAGGTTTGCCGATCTGAAGAAGGTAAAGGAGTGAAATAAATACTCCTAACTACAGCTCCAAGTTTGTAATCCAATTTCTTTGAGTCCTCAGATATATTCTTAACAAAAATATAACAAAAAAATAGGATAACAACAGAAATTAATTTTCTCATTTAATCAGCTTCTTTGTTAATTCAACCATAAATTATGTGTTAGAGAAGTCTAATCACATTGTATATGAATTTTGCATAATTTGCATTAATTACAACCTAAGATGTAAGTGCATTATATGGTATTGAATGTATTTTTAGTTTATCTCATAAAAAAGTTATAACTACTTATAGTAGACATTACTTCTTTTTTTCTCCAAACACATGAAAGAAGAAAAAAGAAGAAAGACAAAATCCTACTGATTAGGTGTCTTTTGAAAGAAGATAATCTTGTTAATTCTACTAGTTTTTGAATCCCTGTTGAAGCAACCCCTCCCAGACTCTTTCACAAGTATTTCCCTATATCTAGTTTCCCTTTCGGCCTGGAAGAGAGAACATCCACAAACCAGGTGCCTTACTTATTGCAAACCTGTAGCTAAGGTGCTTGTGGGTTAGGTTTACTATGCCAAGTTCTGACTTCTGTTCTTTAGATGCTCAGATGACTTATAGTGAATGCGGTTCCTGTTCATTCTCATTTTATACTCACAGAGCCCATTCTCAACCATCTTGAAAGGGGAGTTATAATTCACAATAGCAAAGACATGGAATCAACCTAACTGCCCATCAGTGACAAACTGGATAAAGAAAATATGGTACATATATACCATGGCATACTATGCAGTCATAAAAAAGAATGAGATCATGTCTTCTGTGGGAACATGGATGGAACTGGAGGCTATTATACTTAGAAAACTAACACAGGAACAGAAAACCAAATACTGCATGTTTTCACTTTTAAGTGGGAGCTAAATGATGAGAACCCCTGAACACAAAGAAATGAACAACAGACCCCGGGGTCTACTTGAGGATGGAGGGTGGGAGGAGGGACAGGATCAGAAAAAATAACTATTGGGTGCTGGGCTTAGTACCTGGGTGATGACATAATCTGTACAATAAACCCATGTGACACGAGTTTACCTATTTAACAAACCTGTACATGTACCCCTAAACGTAAAATTTTTTTTAAAAAGTGGAGTTATAAAGGAGAATGAGGAAGTCTCCATAAGCCAATATGACAGGTTGTTGAAGATAGTTCTCTAGACCGGGAGGAAAAGTTACTATTGTGGCTAAAGACCCCAGAAACCTTTCACTCGCTTAACAGACCTTTACTATATGCCTACAGTAATTAAGCTGAGCACTGGGGATTCTAAAATCAATAAACAAAAAGAAATCTCTATCTTCAAAAAAATATCAGTCTGGTAGAGAAGGGAGAATGTAATAAAATAATTTCAATATTGTGCTGTAAGTGCTTTAATAAAGATACATGAAAAAAACAGTAATTGGTACAAAGGAGAGAGGGCAACTTTGTCTAATAGGGAGAGGACAACTAGGGAAGGAAGAGGAGACACAGAGTTGGATTCAAAAGGTAAAAGGTAACCTCAACCCAGAGGAAGTGCCAATGGGATTTCAGGTAGAGGGAAAAGCATGTTCAAAGACAAGGACCATTGCTTGGCATGTGCAGAGGACTTTGCATGTAAGTAATTATGCTTGGCATATAAACAGTTCCTAGGGGTAGCAGGGATGAGATTGAATAGGAAGGGACGGGTCATTTTGTGAAGCAACCAACTTTTCTGTCTATAGATCAGGTGCTGTGCTTGATATTTAATTTTCACAGACCTGAGGTAGCAATATTTATTATCCCAAATTTACAGATGAGGAAACTGAGATACATCTGGGAATAAACAGCATCAGAATCTAAACTTGTAGAGTCTGATGCTGGAGCCTTGTCTCTTAATTATTACAAGGGAGTTCAGGCTTTATCTGTAGGCTATGGGGAAGAGTTTCAAAGAGAGGAATGTTACGATTAGGGTAGGTTTTAGTAAGATCCCTAAAACCACAGTGTGGGGAGTGAATTAGATAAGGGTGTCTAGAGGCAGGAAACCACTTAGGAGACCAGTGTTAATAAGCAGGCAAGAAATGAAGACGTAAATTACTGCAGTAGGCATGGTTTCTCCATCACAGTGAAGCTATTTGCCCAAGGTGCCGTAGCCAGCTAAATTGGGTCTAGAAGGCAGGGCCCTAGACTCCACATCACCAAGCTGCATCATTCATAATCCTGTTGAACATGGAATAAAGAGAAAAGACCCTCTCTCCTAATCTTCAGCTGGGACCCAGGGCCACAGAACTTAGAGTTGGAAGAAAACTTGGGACGATTTAATATATCTGTCATTTCTAGTCAGGGATTTCTTGCGGAACATTGCTGTTGGATGATGGTCCATCCTCTGCCTGAATTCATCATTAAAAATTTCTTTGAAATTATTAACAACATTTACTCAATAAACATTTATTGAATATCTACTGTGGTTAAGGCACTGTGTTTTATTCTGTGGATGCAACGAACAAAAGCTAACAGGATCCTTTAAGAACATACAATCTAACATTAGGACTCATTTCCCTGTAACATCCACCTATTGTCACTAGGTCTGTTTCCTAGGATCACACAGAGTGAGCTTCTTCTCTTATGCACAGCAGTATTTCAAATAGTAAAAGTTCAGTGCTCAGGTATTTCATTTTTCTCTTTTCAAAGCTAAACATTCAGTTTTTTCAACAGTTTTTTATATAAGGCAGTCAAAGCTGCCAATGGTTACTCAGTTTTCAATGAAGAAATTGCTGAAAATTATTCAAAAGCACAGCATCTCTCACCATTAAAAGAGACTAACACTGGCACAGAAATCAAATCAGTCATAATCAGAAAAATTGCAGATGTTGTTGGCTTTGAGGTTCTGATCACCAGGAATAGGCTCCATATTAGAATTCAAAGCATAAAGTAAATTTAAAATAAAAATGCTTGATAGATTTGCATTTATACTCAATATTAAAACAAAGTTATTAGTAAATTTTAATAGCCAGAGGACTGTGGTTTAAAATAGTATTTGAAAAGTGGTTGGAGGAAGCTTCTCTCAATCCTCTCATAAAGGCAGAAAAAAAACTCATAAAAATATACCAATAATCAGTATCAAGGTAGTAACAAAAAGTATTTAAGATTTTCACATTAACTATAACCATTGAGTTATTTTAAAATATAATGTTCCAACAGTGTGATGCCTTTCTAAGAAAGGCATGATTCTAAGAAAGATGCTTCTTCTGGCCTTCTTAGCTATCTCCTCTTTGATTCTGAAATTTCCGACCTGTATCAACTTGAAAACTGGGCAGACAAACCTCTCCTAAACTGGACCCATTTTTGAAAGAGAAAAGTAGAACTCAGAATGCCATTTCTAACCTTCCATGTCAGAATTCTCTTTTTAAACCCTCTCCAAATCATAACCCCCAGAATGAAAAAGACAAACAAAATTGGAATCAGGAAGAAAAACAAAATATTAATGGCAATGTGATGAATTCTGCGAGGCCCCATTTTCACAAATGAAATTATAAAATTGGCAGAGATGATAGACAAAGAAACGAGGGATCCTGTAGCAGCAAATCCTGAGCACTGCTCCTCATCTACACTTCATCTTATCAGAGTATCAGAGACCCTTCTGCCTTGAGGAGGGAGGAGAAGAAAGAGCCTGTCTCAGTTCAGCATTTCACAAACATGTGGTAGACCGGAGAATTGGACTAAGAACTGTGTGCACCAACCTGTCATCTAGATACAGATCTGTTAGAGAAATCTGACCAGCATGGCAGTGGACAGAAATTGGGTTCAAGAGCCATTCACATATTACATTTGTTAGCAAAAACTAGGTCTGAATAGATCTCTTCTGTTAAAGGATGATTACATAGGCAAACAGAATCAATGTGGGGAGTGAAAAAGTGCTATAGAACAAGGAAACAGGAATGATGTATTCAGAAGACTTCTGAAAATTATCTGCTGCTAGATCTCTATTAGAAGTAATTTTGGAAAATCCATTTGGCATTCTCAATGTATACAGAAAGATATGATCTCCATGAAAGGGAAGCCAAAAGCCAGAAGAAGAGAGGATGGACGGAGGTGAACTTAAAATGTAACCGTAAAATGAAAGTCTGCATTGGAAGTGGTAAAAGAACAGAACTGACACTGGGAACAATGGAATTTGTGATGAAGAGCAGAGATGTGAAAACTCCCAGAGGGAGAAAAATAATACAAGCAGTTTAAACTCCCAAGAAAGAAAGTAAGAAAGAGAAAGAAGATGGAGGACAGTAGAGAAAAATCCAGCCTAAGGATTACAGGATTGTCCAAGGAGCCAATGAGAAGAATTAAAACAGAAGCAATAATCAAAGATATAATTGAAGAAAACTTTGCTGAGAGAAAAACAAAGAGCAAAATGACAGCCAATTTGGGCCTATGAATGAGAAAAACTTGCTGTACTTTAGGTGAAATCAATAACAACAGACTCACATCTATGTAGAGCCTGAAAAGAAAGGTGGTTTATCTTGCCTCCTTAATAAATTGCAGCAAATATTTTGGTGTTTGTGTGTGTGCTCCCCTTCCAGTAATACATTTCATATGTAAGTATATTTACATACATTTATTTGTAGCACATATGTATACATACTATATATATTCTTTTGTAATTTTTTCCTCAATGTGTCATGAACATTTTCTGGTGGTGTTAAGTATTCTAAAACATTTCTATAGTAGTCCATTGTATCATGAACTATTTAACTAATGCTTTGCTGTTGCTCATTTAAATTTTTTTTATAATTATAAACAGAACTGTATTATAAACTTTACTATAAACACCCATATCTCTGTTTACTCCTGTAAGGCAAATAGGTCAAACTTAAATTATTGAATGTGTGATAGCAACAGGTAAATGTGCAAGGACTCAAAAAATATGCCATTCAGGTACTCCTATTTGAGAAAAAAAAAAAATCGTGAATGAGTAACTTTTACTAACTTCCAAATTCATTAAATATAAAGCTCAGAAATAAGAAGCTTTGGTTTAAAACAAAAGGTATTTACTCTTGCATTCTAGGACTCTATCATAAGCAAATAATCCAAAATTTGGACAATGATTTATACATTATAAAAACCATGTTAGGATTATTTAGCATAATGTTGAAAACAATATAAATATCTAACAGAGTTGGAATTAAGTGACGTATTAAATTATGCATTATTCGTGTTTCCAAACCTTTTTAATGACATATTAAAATATGATATAAAATCAACTCATGAAAAAGCTGAACAAGATTAAAATTTAGAGAGTGCAATGTATCTAAGTAAAAGAAAACCAAAATTGATGTTTAAAGACCAGAAAAAGGCCAAAATCTTTTGCCTCTGAAGAGTGGAATTTGAATGATTTTCTTTCTTTATAGTTATTTTGAATTTTAAAATTTAAATAATGAGTATTACTTTTATAATCAAAAGAGAAACATGTGAGTCAAAAAGTTTTGATGAAAACCTTTAACTGATCAAAGTGATAATAATCAGTTTTAAAAATTATAAACTTAATTTTTCTAAATTACTCATGAACCTATTATCAAAATAAACTATTTTACATTGTGTTCTCTTTCAATCAATCTGTGAATGGTTTCAACACTTATGACATAATTTATCTATAATTTTAAACTCCATGTTTTTCACTTAATTTTATTTCATAAACACTATGCATATTTTTACTTGGAAAGGTATCACCAATACTCAAAGCATTTGAAATATTATTGTTATGATGGAAAACCATCCTATCATATATGTATGCTACAATTTATATAACCATTCTCCTATTGTGGGGTATTAGATGTTTGCAGTTTGTCATGGTGACAAATGCCACACCTTTGCACTCAGCTCTGTTCTTATTTTTTATAATTTCCTTGGGATATTCTCCAAAATTGTAAGTATTGTGTATAAGAGTATGCATGAGCATTTTTATGGCTTTTGGTATGTGTGGCCAGATTGCCCTCTGAAATACATGGGGTCTTTGTATTCTTAATATTCTCTTATGAAAAAATAAACCAAAGTAAAAACTCATTGGATTTCTTGGACATTAAACTAGAAGAGACCTTGGAGATCACCATCTAGCAAAACCTTAAATTTACAGAGGAAGAAACAGACTTAGAACAGTCACCAGATCCACGATCCAAAGCAAATTACATAGAACAAAGATTAAACTTAGATCCCCTTGACTACTGAGCCAATGCTGTTCTCATGCCACTCTGCCCACATATCCTCTCTCCTCTTTCTCATTCTTCTTCCTGGAGCTAGCGTTGAGGAGAAGAAAACTATTTTAGTTTAAGGCATCAAGGGAAGTGGAATTTGTTTCAGCATTTGATCAAATTCTTGTTCTGCCATGAGTAACTCTCACTGTGTTGCTTAATATTCCTGGCCCTCAGTTTTCTAATCTGTAAGACAGGGATCCTAACACTATACCCACCTTACAGTGGTGTTGCAAAGATGAGGGATAATATTTGTGGGGCTACCACTAGCTCATCGGGCACTTTTGTAAGGATTAGAAAAAGGCCCTCCTTCCAGAAAAGTGCAAAGGCTAGAGAGCACCATTAGTTGAGCAAACAAACCATTAGTTGTGACACTTAGAAAAAGATGTTCCTTCCTCCAGAGGATGTAGCTCATTCAGGGCACACAGTATGGTGAGCATAACACAGGATGAATTTCAGCCCTCATTCGTCCCCATCCCCTTGTTTGGGAGCTTTCATGTGCATGGAAATATAATATGGTAAAACCTAATCCATAGGTGCCTTTGCTCTTATTATTATTCTTATTTGGAGGGAGAAGACCATTTCCACTGGACACTCAACCCATCCATCCTAGCCACACAGAAATGAAGGCAAAGAGCACTTCCTGGCAAGCAAGAGTTAAACAGAAGACTGAATCCTCTTGCTGTGAAGACCATCAAGGCCAAATGTGAGCTCTGACCTTCATTAATTCAAGTGTTATGCTTTTGCAATGGGACTGTAGTTTGCCTGATGCATCTGCTCTTCCTAATTTGGCCTGTTTGGATAACAAAGCTCCGAGTGATCATCTAAACCTCATTTGATGCACCTGTGAACAATTCATTATATTAATATAACAGCAGGGGAGGAGTAGAGACACTAATAAATAGATTTTAGCTGCCAGGACTCCTTGTCACAGCTACAGAGGCCCCTTCATTCTCTCTGCATAGGTACATTCGCCAGCCCTCGGCCACAATAAGGAAGGTCCTGCAGACCCCAGGACCAGGGTACCTCAAACTGCCAGTTCCCACATGTGGCCAGAATTAAGCCATCCATTAGGTGTCTCTCCTCAAACTCTGCACAAATGTACCTTATCTGATTTTTTTAAATTTAATTTTAAGTTCCGGGATACATGTGCAGGATGTGCAGGTTTGTTACATAGGTAAACGTGTGCCATGGTGGTTTGCTGTACCTGTCAACCCATCACCTAAGTATTAAGCCCCGCATGCATTAGCTATTTATCCTGATGCTCTCCTTCCTTCCCCTGCCCTTATCTGATTTGAGAAATTTGTTCTCAGGTAGAAATAGAGTACAAGTGCTGCTAACTAAGGAAGCTTTGAACAGTATTTGGCAACTCTCCTCATGGCTGACTCTCCATTTATCAAAGCAGATCTGTACCACAGCAACACACAGAGTTATTGGTCAACGTCTTTATTTTGTTGACTCTCAGCACTTCTGCACTGGTCTAATGTTGGGGAGAATTTTCCCTCTTCCATCACTTCAGAAGATACAAACATACATTTGGTGATGCTCCGTTTTAATGCTCCTTCAGAAACATGGGTTGTTTTTCTATTTTCCCTCAAACATAAACCCACTCCACTTTAAACTAAAATATGTAGTTCTAGAAACTGAAAGCAATCCTCAGATGTTCTGACATGGCATTACACCCCTCCTCCCTCCATCTGACCCCTAGTATCTGATGCCTGACTTTCTCATCAGCCCCTTCTCCACACTTCCTGTCTTGCACATTATGTTCTACTAGGAAAAAGGAAACTAATCTGTTTCTGGAAAACATCATGCTATTTGCTGACCCTGTGTGTTTGCCCAGGCTGCGCCCTCTGTCAGGAATGCCCCCAACTGCTCAATTTGTCTTGTTACCTCTTACTCATCTTTTCACTTTCTGCTGAAGGCTGGACTAATTATCCCTCATTCATGCCCCTGTGCATACCTCTATCATTGCTCCAGTTCTCTTCTGTCGTAATTATCTGTTAGGTTTCTATCTTCCTCCCTGAGTGTGAGCTCCACAAATGCAGGGTCTTGTCTTAATAATATAATATTTATATCCTCAGTGAATGAATGAAACCATGGAGGGCTCTTTGCTAAGGGGAGGTGGGAGTGGAGGGAAATGGAATACATAAAGGATAAGATATACTCTTTTTTTTTTTTTTTTTTTTTTTTTTTTACACAAAGTCTTGTCCTTGTCCCCCAGGCTCGAGTGCAATGGCACGATCTTGGCTCATTGCAACCCCCACCTCCCAGGTTCAAGCAATTCTCCTGCCTCAGCCTCCCAAGTAGCTGGGAGGTGCCTGCCACCACGCCCGGCTAATTTTTGTATTTTTAGTAGAGACAGGGTTTCACCATGCTGGCCAGGCTGGTCTCGAACTCCTGACCTCAGGTGACCCACCCACCTCGGCCTCCCAAAGTGCTGGGATTACAGGCGTGAGCCACTGCACCGGCCAGATATAGTCTTGTATAGTGTAAGTGTAAAAGGAATGGCCCAAGATCAGACTTCCCTGCCTATTTTTGGCTGTGTGAGTTTACAGAAGTCATGTCACCTCTCTAGGCCTTTGTTTTTTAAATCCATAAAAAATATTGAAAGAATCAGTGGTTTTTAAACTATGTTCTTTGGAGTTCTAGGTGTTCTTGTGGAGTGAGGGGTACCCACAAATGAAGTGCATAAAACACAGAACTCCAGTACTTTCTTTCCTTAGATATAGCTTTAAGGAATGAATTCTATATCTTCAAACATTGACCTAAGAAAATAGCTAACAACTACTGACAACTGCCAGGTGCTTTGCATGTATTAACTCATTTTTCTTCTTACAACAACCCTATGAGAGGGTCGTACTGCTCCCATTTTTTAAATGAAGAAACAGAAGCACAGAGAAGTTAACATGCACATGGACACACAGCTCTCGGGAGTGATGGTGCTAAGATTTGAACTTAAGAGTTTTTCAGGTCTAATATTTGGTGGTTTATTATTGAGTGAAGGATCTAGCATGTAAATAAGAAGAAAACTAATATATAATGTAGTGCTTGCAGAGCACTAATCCAGGGATGTAAATAGGATGGCCTAACAACAGAGTTCAGAGGAGGCTGTAGTCAGTCTGGCTTGGCATACTCAAGGAAGGCTCTTTGAAGGAGGTAAAACTTAAGAAGAACCCCCAAACAAGAATGAGATCAAGATAAATAGATTAGTAGGGAAGTACCATTAGATCTACAAGAAAAGAAATATAACAATATAATATATAAAATGAATGTGTTTAGCAAACATAAAGGTAGCAAGGGCTTCATATTTTACCTTTAAAAAGCATCTATTCCCTCTTGTCATGGCATACACAGGACCTAGTCAGGGTCTGAGGTACCAACTGTACCACTTACCAACTGTTCTACCCTGGACAGCTTCAGTGGCTTTGTGGAGCCTCAATCTCCCATGTGGAACAGGATTAATGATAGTGGATTGTATATGATAGACTGCAAGGTTTAGAGCGAAGTGCAAAGCCACCAAGGTTATTGCTATGTTTGGAAATATTTAAAATATTTTTGAAAATATCCATATTATAAAAGGTATGTACATATAATTCTTGAAATCACAATATAATAAGGATTTACATTTTGAGGGGTCTTATGTTTTTTATTATGTAGCAGAGTTTAGCTGTACATTTTGCCATGAGGGAGGCATAAGGAAGAAATTCAATGCTCAAAATATATTCCCTAAGGCAAAAGGGAAGATCCCTAGGATGAGTGTGCTTTTTACTGCCCTGCTGTTCCAAGCTTTTGGCAGCCTGGGGCAACAGAATCTTTCATCCACCCTTGCACAGTTTCTTCGTGACAGAATTAAAGAGCGACTCTTCTTTGAATTTTCTGCAGCACTTAGCTCATTAGTAAGATTCGACAGGATTCTATTGGATTCTATTGTATTCCACTCCACTCTACTGCATACTCTTCTGTTTTTTCCCATGCTCTTCTGCTCATTCATTCATTCATTCATTCATGAAACATTTCTTGAGAAACTATTTGGTGTCAGGCACTACAATATGTGAGTGCACACAGACATAAATAAGACACGGCACTTGTCTACAAAGAGCTGATAATTTGAAGTCGTACACAAACCTATCAACAACAAATATTTGCTACATCTGGACATTGGAGACCTTCTTGTGTACAACATAGGCTATGTTCTAGCTGCAAAGAGGGCCTGGTGTATGAAATTGGGAGAAAACATCAGGAAGCTAAACCATATTAATCTTGATTTTTTTCTTCGATCCTCAATAAATGAATAAATACTTTCTAACATTTCATGAGTACTTACTAATAAATACTGAACTAAATGCTCTACATGGATTTTCAAATTAATCCTTAAAGAACTATCATGTAAGTTTTATCATCATTCCTATTTTAGAGATGAGAAAATCAAGGCTTAAGGAAATTATGCCACTCACCCAAAGTCATTTGTAATGCCCTCTTTCACTTGGGAATCTTTTTTATAGGATGGTCTCTCTGCTTAGAAAACGATGCCTCCTTATTCTTTATTGCCACCTCCACCAGTTACCTGAGTAACTCCTAACTCCCACCTATCCATCCAGTTTCCATTTAAAAATCGCTTTCTCAAAATAGCTGTCTTTGATTTCCTACTACACTACCTCTCACAGCGCATGTACTTCACAATCTTGGTTTATCATCATGTACTGGAATTGCTTATAGAATCTTCCTCTCCTACACCAGGCATAATCTTCATGAGGCACATCTTCTCTTGGGTTTGTTTCATTCATTAGTGTAATCTAAGAGGCCAGCAAAGAGCTTGGCACACAGAAGGATTAAATAAGTATTTCTCAAATGAAAGAAGGGGGAAAAGGTATATTAAACACTTCAAGCAGCCATCAAATTCAAAAGATCTCCAAGCACTTAATAAGAAATTCTTCCTGGAGTCTTATCATACTGTTTCCACAGATGGGAAAAAGACAGTCGATTGGTGAATTGCACTAGTTATCTTAGGCAGGTTGACATTTGTTGTACTGCAGGGAATTTCTCTTAGCACAATATTTCCTGGGAGGAGCAGGTAAATATTGAGACAAGATACACATCAAGTTTTTTTTTTTTTTCTGTGAACCACTGTACAATAATCAATTCCAGAGATAACAAAGGCGTTTGTTAACAGCTCCATCTCCTTTTTCAAAGCTCAGTTTTCAGTCTGGCAACGTTACAAAGCTCAAGAAAAGAAGTGTTGTTAGCAGATGCCAACCACTTGTCAGAGGAAAAATCCAGAAGGCACTATGCAATACCTCAGCTTTTTAACATACAGATAGGCTTCCTGTCCTCTAGTTCATCAAAATTCCTGATGGAGTAGCTGTAGAAATGGAGAGTGAGGGTTTTACAAGCAGATTAAATACGGAAAAATTCAGCCCAGCAGTCAAAGCTACTTGCACAGTTCCTCTGGTTTATGGGTTACACTTCTGCAAACAAGAGTTCATGGCTGGGGACAGTTTTCCCTGTATCAGAGTACTCTGCACACTAAATCTATTATATTCTTAATGTAGTTTGGTCATCTGTGCTAGATTTTTCAGGGCAAAAACTTTGTTTGATTTTCCACCTTTGCCTTCTGTGGTAGCACATACAATGTGCCCAGTGCATATTCCCTGAACAAATGAATGAATGAATGAATGACATGAATGAACATCAGTGAGTGAAGCTAATGCAGCCCCTACTTGAAAGAGCTAAATAAATTATTCTTGGATGACTTTCTGTAGAATTTCTATTACATATTTTTGGAACTTGCTTGTGCAAACAGATTAATATAGTTTGAAATTCTTTTCAAAAGATGACATCAGAATTGGGGATGGATTTTTATTTTTACTCTTTCTTAAGAAGATGCATTTTGTTTTGTGTCAAAACTGGTATAATGAGGTCCAGTTGCCTCCATATCCCACTAGCACACCAGGAGGAGCTTAATCTGTATGTATGAAGAACAGATGAATGAATGAATGAATGAGTGAATCTTTCTGTTATCTAGGATTCCCTATTCAGTATCTGAGTGAACAGAGAAAAAACTGAATGTAAAGACCAGGTTGAAACAAGCACACATCATACTTTGTATCTTCTACAGGACTGATTACTCCTGATTCAATAGCTTCATTGAGTTTCAATGTTTTATATGCCAGCTGACATCATGATGCACTAAGTTCTGTTCTTGGAGGTTGATGAAACACTGTCAAAGTCTTACCTAAATGCTCTCTTTAATAGCTAGGAGGATGCAAGACCCTGGTTAAGAAGGAAGCCCAGCCATTTGTCCTTGGTCTCCTGGTATACTGATTGCATTACCAACTTTCAGAGCCACTATCAAGAGAATTTGACTGTACAGTCACCTCTAACTCACGAATTATGGGACATTAAGCCAGAAAGAATATCTCAACCCTCCCATATTTGTTCAGACCATTAAACTATCTTATATAGAGAGCATATTGGAATTTGTAATTTCTGTAGCCACATCAAATAAATAGGACTCATTTTCTCAACATATACTGACTAGAGTATTTCTTCTTCAATGTCTTCCAGTCTCCCTATTTCCCAAATGATTGACCATTTTCCTTTTTTAGAATTAGGAAACTTTGGAGAAAAAAAAATCTAAATTCAAATGATTGTTCTGCTATTAAGTGTGAGACTGTGAGAAAATAACGTAACCCCTCTGAGCCTCATCTATTAATTGCCAAACCTAGATAAATACGTATTAGTTTTCAATTGCTGCATAAGAAATTATCACAAATTCACCAGCTTAAAACAACATCTATTTATTCTCCCACAGTTCTGCAAGTTAGAAGTCTGAGCAGACCAGACTAAAGTATCTGCTTAGAGTCTCACAAGGCTGAAGTCAAGATGTTGACGGGGCTGGGCTCTTAACTGGAGGCCCTGGGGAAGAATCAGCTTCCAAACCTATTCAGATGGTTGGCACAATTCAGTTCCATGCAGTTGTAGGAGTGAGGTCCTGTTTCCTTGCTGGTTGTCAGCCAGGGACTACTGTCAACCCCTAATGCTACCTGCATCCCTTCTCACATGACCCTCTCCACCTTCAAGTCAACAGCAGGTGCATCAACTCCTTCTCACACTTGAAATCTCTCCAACTTTTTGTTCTGCCACAAGCCAGGGAAAATTCTGTGTTTAAAAGGCTTGTGTGATTAGATGAGACCCACCCAGATAATCTCCATTTTGACACATAATGTGACATAATCACAAGAGCGATAGCTTATCTTGTTCACAGTTTCCACCCATGCACAAAGGGGAGGAAATTATACAAAGGTAAGAATCAGTCGTAGAATTCTGACTACCCAGGGTATCAAATTCACTGAGGAGCCTTTAAAGATACTGATTTCTCTGTCTCTACCCTAGGCCCTCTGAATCAGAATCTCTAGAGTGGGTCCTAAGGATTTGTATATTTTAAAACACCTTCAGATAATCTGAATGTAACCAGTCTATGAATCTAAGATGAAAAACATTGATTTGATGTTTTGAAGAGCCTTATACAATGCTTAATATATAATATGAGTTCAATGAGTGTCATTTTTCTGTCCTTGTTTCCTTCAGTACCTTACTACTCAACTGAGGTCCACAGGCCAGCAGTATTATCACCACTTAGGAGGATATTAGGAATAGGAAATCTCAACTACTATCCCCTAAAGTCAGAATTTGTATTGCAACAAGATCTCCAGGTCATTTGTAACATTAAAGTTTGATAAGCACTACCTTAGGAATAATGGACCCATTTCATCAACCCTAAAACACTATTCAAGCTTCCCACTTTCAAATGGACATATCTATACAGATATCTCAACTTTATTAGATTCAGTTCAACTGAATCAACTCAACTAGATCATTTGCTGTACATCCAGCACAGTGCTAGATGGTATATGAATGAAAGATTTGCAAGTCATCATTGGGGTTTACTAGATACTCTCACTATCATTGGGTGCATAAAATAGAGAATGATTCAAAACAGCATGTTTGAGAGAAGACTTGAAGAACTGTAAGATCATGTTACTTTACAGTGGGCAGAAAGAAAAACTTGAGCTGGTATTAAAAGATACAGATATACATTCTTTAGCATCTTGTTAAAATATTGTCTCATTCATTCATTCACTCATATTTATTGAGTTCCCACTATTTATTGAGCTCAGAACATAGAGAGAACTGTGTTCTGAGTGCTTGGAATAGACACTATTCCTGAACTCCTGGGGCTGCCAGTCCCTGGCTGTCTCCCCTGGCCCCATGCCCTTATTGGAATATTCAGCACACTGAACTATATTTTCTTGATTAATGTGTCAGATTCCCATGAAAGACTGTGCGTTTCTCAGAGACCAAACTACATTTTTCTTGGTATCCCCTTCAGCACAATAGTGCTTGGCATATAGGAAGAGCTCAGTGAGTGAGTCAAGGAATAAATGAATGAATACAAGAAGGAGAAAGGGCATTGTAGGGGTGGGGAACATGCATGGCTAAAAGCACGGAGGGAGGAGTGAGCATAGCAACTTCGAGAGAGAATTCTAGACTGACCTTTTATGAGAGTTCCTTGTGGAACAATTGACGGAGTAAGGTTTGTTGGAGTCAGACTACAGAAAAATGAAAATTTTAGAATGGTAAATGTATTTTTCAATTAAATTCAACAGATATGGATTAAGCTAATGAGCAATAGGGAGCTACTATAGAATTTTGAGGGAAATAGAAAAGATCTGATCTATAATTTGGTGATCTCAGTATCTTACAGAGTTTAATCTTATAGGTCTGGTGGCTCTGAACAGACAGGGTTGGTATGGCAGAGATGGAGGCAGAAGGACAACGTATGGGTGTGACATGTGTGTTTTTAATGTGTATATTTGGGGGTTGTAAGAAGAGAGGTATCACAGCCATCCAAGAAAAAAAATTATGAGCAGATGCTCAATATGGAAAAGTTCCCATTTCAAACAAGCCAGAACATTTAAAAATAGACTGATAAGCCAATTCTGTCCCAATAGAGCTCTGAGAAAACCTCCTTGGAATGCTGATTTACAATTCACTTACTCATGCATTCATTCTTGCATTTATTCATTCATTTGACAAATATTAACTCAGTGTTGATCACTGTGCTATGGTGTAAGGTTACAGAGATGAATAAAATAAGGTCTCCTGCTCCTGCAGGGGGTAAAAACCCCTCCACATTAAACTTATTCACTCTGTTAGAGGATTAATCATGTTAGTGATAAGATGAAATTGCTCAAAGTTGAAGATGAAGAACTCTGTCTGCAAATTCTTTAAGCTTGTGTTGAAAGTCTGGTATTTTCTGGCTCAGCAATGTGGTAAAATGTGGTAAAATGGAAGGCAGACAAATAAACCTGGGGCTGAAGCCATCTCTTACTGGCTATGTGAGCATGTATCTGTTTCCTCGTTTGTAAATGGGCATGATTCCTACATTATAGGATTGTTGTGAAATTTAAGGAAACAATTAACATATGCAAAGCACTTAGGTAAGCGGTTCACACACCTCTGGTTTTGAGAGGCTGAACCTAGAGACTGCATGACTGAGACTTCATGGCTGGCTGGCTTCCAGTCACATTTGACCAGCAGGGGCATCAACAAGATCAGACAGAAAAAGGAGAAAAAAGTTGGGACATTTCTATCTCATGTCTTCCCTACTCCTTCCCTCCCTCATCACTGCATCTCTGACAGAAGCCATGTCCCTCTGAGATGCTAGGTCCCACCAACAGCCCCAGGTCCACTCTGGAGCTTGCACTCTCCTTGTTTCTTCATTGAGGTAGTAATGCTCCTCCCATTGCTCACCCTGGGGTACTTCACCAACTTTTATTGGTTTCCCTTAACTCTGCCCAGATATGTGTATATAATTCCTTTCTTAGCCTTGTCATTTGAACCACCTAGATTGAATTATAATTCCTATCAGTACATCAACTGATACAAAGAGGTTACATTCTACCAGGAAGGCCAGAACTTTTCAAAGTATCTTCTATGAGTTATTTTGTAAAAAAGAAGATTCTATGGTCAAATAAGTTTGGGAAATGCTGTAGATTTGATTTCCTTCTTGGAGATTCACAATATATATTAACATATTAAAGGTTCAGAGAAGCCTGAAATGAAGAAATGTGTTTAATTTTATTTAACATCATTTTCTATACTCATTTGACCATGAAACTATTATTTCATATAACACCTATTAACATCCCACACTTGAGGAAATGCTGAACTAGGCTAAACTAATAAGATAATTTGTCACATTTATAGCAGTTCGAGGATGAAAGAACACTGGACTTGGACTCAAGATTTGCTATTTCTTATCTTGAATCTGCCACTAACTCATGAAAGACCTTGAGCAGGCATCTCACCCCACTAGAACTTGGTCTCCACTGAGGTGCTGGAGAAATGAGCTGTTTCACTCATGCAAACCTGACTCCAGTGCATGCTCATGTTACTCTCATCAACATAAGCAATCTTGGCAGTTTGGGTAGAAATATCTCAGGAATGTTTTGCTTTGTTTCTTTTGCAACTGCAGCTTTTCACCTCCAGAATTTTACTTCCTCACAGTTCTTATTTCAGTCAGAACTCCAGATTTTCAAAAACACTTCTGTGGAGACTCACAGAGGTGTTTGTAAAGCAAAATCCTACAATTTAAAGTGTTCTTTCCACTATATCACAACACAATTGCTACAGTAGTAAAGTGATTATATTGAAAGTATCTCTAAGTCTAAGGCTTAATGGTGGGTTAAGTGTGTTACTTTTCATTTGGTTACTTGTGTATCATGAAGGGGATAGCCCCCAAAAAGTCCGTATAAACCAGTCTTGTCATGTAGGAGGATAGAATTCCCTATTCCCAGGTGGCCTAATTCAGAAAAGCAAAGTCTGAACACATTTAGACCCTGATGATTACTCAAGTGAGGTAAAAGAGTGAAAACTATTGAATAGCCATCAAATATTGTCCTAATTCCTTTAAAAATCAGCACAAAAGAGCTATGTCTATAGCCATTAGAATAAAATTACAGATATTTAACTCTGCCTGGTTGATATCATTCCATATATGAAACACAGTCCAGATATTTCTCCCAACAAGGCAAATTGTAGCTCACAGGAAATGGAATTGAATACAGATTTCAGTTCTCAGAGTTTTAGATAAAAATGTAAATGAGGAGCAAGACAATAATTAAACAAATCATTCACAGGAATTTTTATGGCCTACTTAAAAACCATCAGCACAGTTCAAGACACAGCAAGAAATTCTGAGTCCTCAAAATAATTGATCTGCAGCAAGGCAAACACTCATTTAATCACCATACTGGAGTCGAATCAAGGAAGCAGATCATCTTACTTTTTCATACTTCTTTTTCCAGATATTTAAGGAGATGATGACGAACCAAATTCTAAACAAAGATCAGCAAGATAGCCTAATATTACCTGGTAATACAATCTGTCACCCAATTTCAAACCTATCTGAAATGATGATGACAAAAATTAGTTGTAAAGCAAACTCACCCCTTCCAAATGGGAACAATGAGAGGAAGGCACTCTGTGTTATTTTTTTTAAATGTCTTAACCAAAAGTGAAGAAAAGAATTTCCTTAATATATAAGTCAAAATGTCCAATGCACTTCATAATTGTGGGATAATATTTGGAATTAGAATTGTGATGCACATGTTTATCGGTCACTGATATGGTTTGGCTGTGTCCCCACCCAAATCTCATCTTGAATTCCCACGTGTTGCAGGAGGGACCTTGTAGGAGGTAATTGAATCATGGGGACAGGTCTTTTCCATGCTGTTCTCATGATAGTGAATAAGTCTCACAAGATCTGTTGGTTTTAAAAAGGGGAGTTTCCCTGCACAAGCACTCATTTCTTGTCTGCCGCCATGTAAGACATACCTTTCACCTTCTGCCATAATTGTGAGGCCTCCCCAGCCACATGGAACTGTAAGTCCATTAAACCTCTTTCTTTTGTAAATTACCCAGTCTTGGGTATGTCTTTATCAATAGCATGAAAATGGACTAATACAGTCACCTCCAAAATTGTCATATATCTGTATTATACACCATTTTGGTCATAGCTGAAAGCCATTTTAGATGAGTTTAATGTAAATGTGGATGTTTGTCAAGGTTAATTATATAAGTGTCACACAGTTAGAAGGGACTTTGAGTGTAGACTGGAGAAATCAAGTCTTGCAGAAGAGAAAATCTAGGATTACAGGAGGGGAGAAAGAATGATAGCAGTTAAAACCAGAGGAAGCAGGAGATCAGGAAAAATATTGTCTCTTTTCTACAAATGAGAAAAATAAAGCTCAGAGACATGTGTACTCTCAGTTACCTAGTGAGTATGTGGCAGAGCCAGGATAACAACTTAGGAATGAACTCCTAGCCCGGTTCTTTTCCCTGCACATGTTCTTGGTCCCCTAGCCAGGTTTTGGCTTGTGCCGTTTTAGAACAGGTCATTATAAAGTAAAGGGCATTTGCCATCTTAACTTCTGAGACTCATGGAGGGTCATTCCAGAAGAGCAGCAATGCTGTTACCAGCTTGATTTAATGAGGGACCTATTTTTACTTTGAAACTAAGGGAGGAGACCACCCCTCATATTGTCTTATGCCCAATTTGTGCCTCCAAAGAAAGAAAAAGTAAAAACTAAAAGGCAGAAATGAAATCCAGAAGCAGACAGCCTGGCGCCACACAATGGGCCTGGTAGTTAAAGATCAACCCCTGATCTAATCGGTTATGTTATCTATAGATTACAGACATTGTATAGAAAAGCACTGTGAAAATCCCTATCCTGTTTTGTTCCGATCTAATTACTGGTGCATGCAGCCCCCAGTCACATACCCGCTGCTTGCTCAATCGATCACGACCCTCTCACGCGCACCCCCTTAGAGTTGTGAGCCCTTAAAAAGGACAGGAATTGCTCACCCAGGGAGCTTGGCTCTTGAGACAGGAGTCTTGCCGATGCCCCCAGCCAAATAAACCCCTTCCTTCTTTAACTCATGTCTGAGGAGTTTTGTCTGCAGCTCGTCCTGCTACAAAACAATACTCTACTCTTATCATTTGCCTTAGCATGTCCATACCTTTATATTTATGGTGCACAAAGGAATTGGATTCTGCAGCAAAAAATGCACTAAAATCTTTCTTCCTTGGCTTTCTGACTTTGGATTTTAAGGACATAGTTACCTCCTATTTAGTGCATGGAGTAGGAAGGGTTTGCTTTATTTCTCCATGTCATACTGAATGCCTTGACTACTCTAGAAAGATCAAAATTCTTTATATTACTTCTGGACACTGCACATGACTTTAGCTTAGAAGTCATCACCATGATTGTATGTATAGCGGAGGCAATGTAGTCAAGAGCCAGTAGTCAGACAGACCTAGGTTCAAATCCCAATCTACTGAAAGATAATTCTGGGCAAGTTAAACTCTTTGGGCCTTGTTCCTCATTTAATAGATGGGGACAGTAATAGCTACCTCACACAGTGTGTGGTAGAGGCTGGCAGTGCCAGGGCTGGACACCCACCTTCCAGTTGCCCTGGGTATTGATTGCCGCCCTTCTCTGTAGAATTGCCCTCCCTCAAGGGAAGGGCCCTTACTTGAGATGTTCCCCGCTGCAGTCACTGACACAGGTGAGACAAACTCTCCAGTGCAAGCTCCAGAGACCTCATCCTTACTAAGACCTTTCCCCCACCCTATCTTGCTTGCCTCAGTAAAGTCACCAAAAAATCATTTGCAAAAGAATCCCTTCTAGGCTCTGAGTCTAGGGGATCGACTTAAGGCAGACTCGTGAAGACTAAATGATAAATCAATTTCACGTTGCCTGACATACATGAAGCATTCCCAGATGGTAGCTATTATCATATTACTAGTCATATCTGGAACTTTCAGAACAATTCCTGGCATCTAGAGCTGCTCAATAAATTGAACACAGTGAGGCTTCAAAAATCACCTCTTGCCATCTATGCATCCGATCTGCATACCGTGAATACCCTTGGGGGTGTCTGCATTTATCTCTGTCTTTGTTATCTTCATTCTGTAACACTTCCACCTCTACTCATTTCTATATATTTTTATTTAACCATAATAACCGTAAAAATGTCTATTCATTCTTAAAGACAGGGTGCCCATAGCGGAGACACAAAAACACAGTTTCTATTCTCAAGAAATGAAAATGTGTTACCAGATTTACGATCAATATAAAACAAAAGAACAATGCATATTGTTAGATTTCAGGATTTAGGGGAAAACTATTAAACTGTTTATAGGTTTATAGTTTTATAAGAAACCACATTAACAACATATTGATATATTTAAAGTAGTTACTTGCTTTTTCTCCTCTTTAAAATACTGGAGTAATTATAATACCGAATATATGATCTGAAGAATTCAAATAGCTGGAGAACTTGTACTTTTTAAATTTATAATTCCCCAGTGAAGCAGATAGTAAGGCTATTGTAAATACATAATCAGATTAAGCAAGAGCCTGATACTTGACAATTCAGATGTTATGACTCATGGAATACTTTTTTGCTAGGAAAATGAATGATGCCTCTGTTTCTTCCATCTTACAGCCACGAAAACAAGTCCGACTCCGCTCATTCTCTTGCCCACCCCATTTATGTCTGAAAAATAAACCAAATATTATCTAATTTAAAAAGAGGGAATCACAATGAGATAATTTGGTGAATATGGGTTCAATGTTTGGATCCATTAGGAAGTATGATTTACATTTCCTGTAGTTTTTTTCCAGTGAGAATTAACAAGCTCAGACTCTGGGGGTTAGGAAAAAGTGGTTCAGCTTTATGACTCTGCAGTAAAATATTTAGCCAAAAAGAAATATCCTATTATCTGGGATTAAAGTGTCAATATTATGTTTATAAAGAAATTTCACAGTTGGGCTAAAGAGGAGCACTCCTCATAAAAAGAAGGGCTCATTACAAAATATTAGTTTTTATCCTGAAACCTTAGTGTTTGAGAGAGATAAAACACAGGGCTTATAGGATATATTTGGGGATATCAGCTAAGAAGTATTATAATATAAACATGTATTATAGTGATGTCAAGTGCTCTAAAAAATATAAAGTAGGAACCTGGAAATGTTGGGGTAGTAAGAGAAGAAGTATTGGGTCTAGGAGAAGAGAGATTATAGCCTGTGCTCCGTAAAGAAGATGAAAGACTTGTAAGAAGAAATTGGCCTGGCTGGGCAGGGTGGCTCACACCTGTAATCTTAACACTTTGGGAAGCCAAGGTGAGTAGATCACCTGAGGTCAGGAGCTCGAGACCAGTCCGTCCAACATGGTGAAACCCCATCTCTACTAAAAATACAAAAATTAGCCAAAAACAAAAATTAGCCAGGCGCAGTGGTGCCCACCTGTAATCCCAGCTACTCAGGAGGCTGAGGCAGGAGAATCGCTTGAACCCAGGAGGTGGAGGTTGCAGTGAGCTGATATCATGCCACTGCACCCCAGCCTGGGTGACAGAGCAAGACTCTGTCCCAAACAAAACAGAACAAAACAATAACAACAATAAAAGACATCAGTCCGGATGTTGCACCCAGGAAGCCAGGTATGGCAAAGTGGAAGAGCCTACCTCTCTTGCCAGTCTGTTTTAAGGTTTCAGTGAGGTCATAGATAGAAAGGGCTTAACACAGTGCCTGCCCAGGTCAATGTCTGATACCTAGAGGGTGGCCAGTGAATAGTAATTAGCATTCAGATTCACAGGCCTATTACTTGGATAAGGAAATCAAGGCAGAGAGAGGGGTATAGTCACTTGCCACTTGCTGACGTCACCATATGGCTCTGTGCTAAGTGCTTTAAGCACATTATCCTAGGCAGCTCTGAGATGAGAAAGCGGAGCTCCGAGAATAGGTGTTATGGGTCCTTAGTGGCAGAACCCAGCCTTGAGCCCAGGACTGACTGGCTCCTAAGTCCAGGCCTTTCACTGCTAGATGTTACCGGCCAACGCCATCCTCTAAATACCTGTGTATTCACTGGCCTCCATTATAGACTGTGAGCTCCTTGAGTGGGGGAACTGTGTCTTGTTATCTTCATATTCTGAGACAAACCACAAGGCCTGGCTCAAAAATATTCATTGAATGAATGCATGAATGAATGAATAAATGAATGTACTTGGAGCTTAGGAATGTCTACAAACAGTATGCTCGGCCAGGTGCAGTGGCTCACCCCTGTTATCCCTACACTTTGGGAGGCTGAGGTGGGTGGATCACTTGAGGTCAGGAGTTTGAGACCAGCCTGGCCAATATTGTGAAACTCTGTCTCCGCTAAAAATACAAAAAATTAGCTGGGCATGGTGGCGCACGCCTGTAGTCCCAGCTACTCAGAAGGCTGAGGCAGGAGAATCGCTTGAATCTGGGAGGTGGAGGTTGCAGTGAGCCGAGGTCACGCCACTGTACTCCAGCCTGGGCAACAAGAGAGAAACTCCACTTCAAAAAAAAAAAAAACAAAAAACAAAAACAAAAAAAAACCAGTATAGTCATGAATGGAAAATGGGGAAAAAATGTATATTTTATATTATCTGTAACATGCCCCAGAGTCCCAATAAAATGTCAATTTTATTGACATTTGTCTGTCAGTAAAATTTCTCCTACCTCTGTGAAGAGTCCCCTGACTTTCCCTGACCTTCATTCAAAGTAATCACCCCTTCTACTAAAATTTATTAATAAATTTATTATAACAGAAAGAGGCCAATAGGAACAATGGGACCTTTTTCTTGGATAAATCTGTTTCTTCATCTGTAAGATGGTAATAATTCTCACATTGGCAGCCAATGTGAAGGGTTATATGAATTACATTTAATATTTAACAAGTGCTTTCAGCGTGCTGCACATATAAGTGCATGATCCTAAAGCAAAAGAGAGGAACAGGACACAGTTCTTGTCCTTACAGATAACACAACTTAGTGTGGGAGACTGACATGTAAGCAGTTAATTGCAACATGGTATAAAAAGTGACATCCTGCAGACTAGCTATGTGTCAGGGGAGCACAGAAGAGAAAGAGCTGGGCTCAGCCTGGGGGGTGTTAAAGAGGAGCTGTTCAATTTAATGACTAAGTGCATAGGCTCTGGATTCAGAGGACTTGGGTTCAAATTCAAGCTTGACCACTTGGCACCTGTGCAATTTTAGGCAATTTACTTAATGGGTCTGTCACCTTCCATTTCCTTGTCGAGAAAATGAGGTAATAACAGCCCCAACCTGATAAGTTTGTTGTGAAGATAAAAATGGCATATAATATCTAAAGCATGTAACACTATACCTGGCACATAGTAAAAGCCTAATCAAGGCTTCACAGAAGAAACTGTGTCCTGGACACTGAGTTGGAATTTGTCAGCGAGACAAAGATCTGTTGCACACAGAAGGCCTTACAGGTGGCATGAACAACATGCAAAACGGTTGAGTGCTGTGAGGTTTTGATATTTTGATTTTATGACCTACTGTAAAAATTATACTTTGCATCACAATTTGGCATGTGTGCACTCACATGCACACACAGACCCCTAAAACCAGAGTTTAATAAAACAATACTTACCCTGTTTATAGTGTACTCTGATCTGTTCTATTCTATCCTATCCCACCCCACCCCATTCTATTCTATTTCATTCTAATTTTGTTAAGGCTGGCTGAAGTCCATTACATTGATTTCATGACCCCTTAGTAAAGAAAGGGCCATTATAAGTTTGGAAAACACTTATTTCAGGACACTAGTTTTACGTAGCTGAAATGCAGTCAGATATCACTTGATTATGCTGCGTATTGTGCTTGGTTCTAGGTCCTAATATAAATTGGAGTGATTAGAGATGAGGCTGATAAGAAAGTCAGGGCTCTTATCATAAAGACCTTCATAAACCATGTTGCAGAGGCCAAACTTCATTCTGCAAGTGGTGAGAAATCACTGTAGAATTCTGATGTGACTGGTTTTAAGGGTTGGGGCGATCACTCTGGTGGTGATGTGTAGGATGGCTCAGCAGAACCCAGTCCTGAAAGGATGTCAAGGAGTTTGCTTTGATGAAAGCTGTGAATAACTGCTAGATTCTATTATGATAAACTTTACAATAAATTACACACCTCATCCTAAAATGCAGTGCCTTTCCCAGAATGTTAGACTCTATCCTATTTTTTTTAATACTTTAAGTTCTAGGGTACCTGTGCACAACGTGCAGGTTTGTTACATATGTATACATGTGCCATGTTGGTGTGCTGCACCCATTAACTCGTCATTTACATTAGGTATCTCTCCTAATGCTATCCCTCCCCCCGCCCCCGACCCCACAACAGGCCCGGGTGTGTGATGTTCCCCTTCCTTTGTCCAAGTGTTCTCATTGTTCAATTCCCACCTAAGGTTGTACAAAGATTTATCTGGGGCTAGTTTTCAGGGTCTCAGGGCTGCACTAGTAAATGCGCTAACTGTAAGCATTCAGTAGTTACAGAATTAGAAAGGCTCTCATAATGTATTTGATTTTTAACAAGTGATTTGAAAATATGACACACCTGATCTGAACTCTAACCTATGGGAAATGATCTTCCACAAATAGGAATGTAATGCATTTTCTGAAACTGTACAAAATTTAGATGGCTGTCAAAGGCTACTTTGTTAATGAAATTATTCTGCTGGCATTTTGTGGCAAGGACTATTTGGATGTGGATTTTTTTTAGCAAATGGGGATTTATTGGTTAAAGAAACTAACATTTTAATGAGTGCCTACTATATGCAAGTGACTTTATACATGTTATAATAGATGCTCTCTTAACCAACCTTCACTTAACCAATTTGTTTAACAATATTCCCATTCTTTTTTTTTTTTTTTTTTTTTTTTGAGACAGAGTCTCACTCTGTCACCCAGGCTGAGGTGCAATGGCATGATCTCAGCTTTCTGCAACCTCCGCCTCCTGGGTTCAAGCGATTCTCCTGCCTCAGCCTCCCAAGTAGCTGGGATTACAGGTGCGTGCCACCATGCCCAGCTAACTTTTTTTTTTTTGTATTTTTTAGTAGAGATGGGGTTTCACCATGTGTGCCAGGCTTGTCTCGAACTCCTGACCTCATGATCCACCGACCTCGGACTCCCAAAGTGCTGGGATTACAGGCGTGAGCCACTGCGCCCGGCCCGGTTCCCATTCTTTTGCTAAGTCTACTGACTAGTATCTATAACTTTAAAAAAGGTGAATGGCTAGTAGATTTCTCTTATGGACACCTGTATCCTTCTGCTAACATCAGCTCACCATATAGTTGTTAATTCAGATTGTACTTGTTATTTTAATCCTGTGATTAACACATGCATTTATTCAATGATATTACAAAAAAAAAACTTTTCTTTTTATAAACTCTAAGTTCAATACTTTGGAAAGACTTGATAAAATAAATAAGCTGCCTAATAAAATGTTGAATTAAGTTGAGCATTTACAGGACATCTGTAAGGAATAGGGAGAAGTGGTAAAAATTGTTTTAAGTGTTTTTAAGCACTCATTCTACTTTAAAGGAACTGACCCTGGAAATCACACACACAGAAAATGCTTCACAGAGACAGTTTATGCAGGATGCTGGTCGGTGGGACATAATGTATAAGAAAAGACCTTGGATCTAGGTGAGGAGGTTACTAAATAAAAGAACTGTTTCATGTTTTAATTTGAAATAAGCTATTTAACATATATAATATATATATTTTATATATATAAAAATATATAAAACTCTGTGTTCTAGTTATCTAATGCAGCATATCATAGTACCCAAAAGTTTGTAGTTTAAAATAGAAATAACATTTATTTAGCTCATGAATATGGATTTTTGGCATTCTTGTTGGGGACAGCTTGTCTCTCTATACTCCATGTCAGCTGGGGCAGCTTAAAGATCAGGGGCTGGGATCATCTGAAGGCTACTGTATTTACATTTCTGGCAGGTGATGCACAAAGACTTAAATAGCTGGGGGCTGGCACAATGGAAGCTCCTTGAGCATCTTCCTCTATCTCTCTGCAGCTTCTCCACATGGTGTCTCTAGCATGGCAGACCCAGTGAAGCTATACTTCATATAAATCAGCTTAGGGCTCTCAAGACATGCATTGCAAGAGAAAGACAAAGCCAGGGGCCGGGCGCGGTGGCTCATGCCTGTAATCCCAGCACTTTGGGAGGCCGAGACGGGCGGATCACGAGGTCAGGAGATCGAGACCATCCTGGCTAACACGGTGAAACCCCGTCTCTACTAAAAATACAAAAATTAGCCGGGCATGGTGGCGCGCGCCTGTAGTCCCAGCTACACGGGAGGCTGAGGCAGGAGAATGGCGTGAACCCGGGAGGCGGAGCTTGCAGTGAGTCGAGATCGCGCCACTGCACTCCAGCCTGGGCGACAGAGCGAAACTCCGTCTCAAAAAAAAAAAAAAAAGACAAAGCCAGATGGGAGCTGTGTTGCCTTTTATGATCGAAACTCTGAAATCATATGGTGTCCTTTCTGCCATAATCCACTGATCTGAGCATTTACAAATGGGTACCCAGGTTCAAGAGGAAAGAACATGGGCTCTAGCTTAGATGGGATAATGGGTCACATTTGAAAAAGCATGTGGGATGAGATATATTTTAGTCATCTTTGGAAAGTACTATCTGCTACACCTGCTTGGACTTAAGTAGTATTATTATTTTTTCAATTAACTGTCCAAAGATTCTGATACCATTGGATAAGATAAATTTCATCATAATTAGTGTAATTTTCTTTTTTTTTTTGAGACAGAGTCTCGCTCTGTCACCCAGGCTGGAGTGCAGTAGCTTAATCGTGGCTCACTGCAACCTCTGCCTCCCAGGTTCAAATGATTCTCCTGCCTCAGCCTCCCAAGGAGCTGGGATTACAGGCACATGCCACCATGCCTGGCTAATTTTTGTATTTTTAGTAGAGACAGGGTTTCACCATGTTGGCCAGACTGGTCTTGAACTCCTAACCCCAAGTGATCTGCCCTTCTTGGCTTCACAAAGTGTTGCGATTATAGGCATGAGCCACCATGCCCAGCCTTCATAATAAGTGTAATTCTTACAACAAATCTACTAGATAGGCATCACAGTAGCCATTCTGGAGATGAGAAAGCTGAGGCTCAGAGAAGTTGTGACTAAAGCCCGCCCTCTTCCCATTCAAGCTCACTGCCTTTCTTTTTCTTCGTCAAGGGGATTTTGGACTTGTGCTTCCTATTTGTAAGCATTATGCCCATTCCAACAAGGCCTATAAATCAGCACAACCTACTAGAAAAGCGAGAACTTATGACTGACAAAGTTGAGTCATTCAGTCTCACTACACACAGTAGTCCAGGCACTACCAAGATTAGTGGCTCCCTAGTTTTGCTGCATATTGGAATCATTTAGAAAGGTTAAAGAAAGTCCTAATGCCCACACTACATCCCTTACCAATTAAACCACAGTCCGGAAATGGGAGCCAAGCATCAGTCATTTTTAAAGATCCCCAGGTGATGCAAAAGATAGGGAGCTACCCACAACCTAGATTCTTCTCAATCTAATCCAATCCCTCCCCATTTCCGTTTTCTACTAGGCCTCTCTCTCTGTCTCTCCCTGCCACCCTCGCCCCCAACACCTCTCTCATTCTTGCTGTTGTACTTGGCTTCTCTTGTTTGTTTACTCCAAGAATTTTATTCACATATATTCTTCTGTCAAACCTCAGACCCTAAACTGTAGCAGAGAGCCATCCCATGGGAGCTATACAGCTCTGAGTATCTGTTTGCTTATTCATAATACAGCCACGATGATGACGATGATGATGATACTTACCTGATGCCTGTAATCCCAGCACTTTGGGAGGCCAAGGTGGGCAGATCACCTGAGGTCAAGAGTTTGAGATCAGCCTGGCCAACATGGTGAAACCCTGTCTCTACTAAAAATACAAAAATTAGCCAGGCATGGTGGCAGGTGCCTGTAATCCCAGCTACCCAGGAGGCTAAGGCAGGAGAATTGCTGGAACCCAGAAGGCAGAGGTTGCAGTGAGCTGAGATCACACCACTGCACTCCAGCCTGGGTGACAGAGCAAGACTCTGTCTCAAAAAAAAAAAAAAGAGATAATGTAGGAGGTACTCAATAAGCTTGTTAAAATATTTGTTGAGTGAATAAAATAATCTAAATCATTTCCTAAGTTTCTTTAATGATCAAAGAAATTAAACCACTATGAATCTGGTTTCAGGTATTAAACACAGATTAAATATTCATTTTTAGGATACATTTGTTTTAAATTTAACACATGGATTCATGAATAATGCTATAGAGAATCCATTATTTAAAATATTAATATAAATATCTATGCATGAGGGGGAAATAATTGGGAAATTTTATCTCCTCTGACAAAGGGGAAAAAGGCCATTTAAAAATATTACTTTTTCCCCTTCAGACAGAGAGCAGAGGTGAGCCACACGAAATCTAAGTTCGCATGAAAGAGCGATGATAAAAAATGCAGGTGCTGTGAAACATTTATATGGACCAAGTGTAAGACAGTATGTAGGCCTGAATTTGAAATGACATTTTGGTATAAAACAGATCTCCCAAAGGCAAATTTGAAACTTCCAGAAAAGTCTTAAAATGACATCTTTCAAAATGAAGAATCATCAAATAAATATGCCCAAGTCATTACCTCGAAGTACTTTTCTAATGAGACAGGCTGAAGAAACAGCTAAAAATAATTGACCCCAGTTTTACAGCTGAAAGTTGTAAAAAAAAAAAAAAAAAAAAAAAAAAACAAGAAAAGCTATTGCAGGGTATGAACCTAGAATTAGGCATTGGCAACTGTTTAGCATATTAAATACAAACATTAGGACATGTCTCACTCAGCATAGAAAAATTGCCAATAGCTTTTTATTCACAAATTTCAAATTGTTTTACAAATTACTTATTGTATTCCCTCCTATAAATCTTATTCCATTTGCACAATGCTGTGGTTTTAAAAATGACATTCACCCCAATATTTAATGAGATGTTTGCCTCAATACTTCACTGGATTCTTGCACAAGCCAATAAATTAAGCATGGTGGATTTTATTATCCCCATTTTATAGATAAAGATATTGAGATCTAGAGAGGTTAATAACTTGCTCACGTTTACAGTCTTTCAAATGTACTACCCTGTCTTACTTCAACACAAAAGAGAGCACAGAGAGCCTACCATACTTGTGTAAGTGTTTTTCAGGAAGTAACTCAAGATAGAAGAAAATTAAGGTCTATTTGAACACATATTACATGAAATATTAGACACAATGTGGAGGATTGCTTATGATATCTTAAATAGAAAAGTAGAATATAAATTGAATGTACACAATAATCTCAACGTAAAAATATGCATGGGAAAAAGATGGCAAGGAAATATGCCAAAATGTGCATTTCTTTTTTATATCATTATTTCCTCAATTGATCTTATAACATGTATTTTTTATAATGAAAAAGAATAGTTAATTTACTGATATGGTTTGGCTGTGTCCCCACCCAAATCTCATCTTGAATTATAGCTCCCATAATTTCCATGTGTTGTGAGGGGAGTCCAGTGGGAAATAATTGAATCATGGGGGTGGTTTTCTCATACTATTATCATGGTAGTGAATGAGTCTCATGAGAGCTGACGGTTTTATAAGGGGAAACCCCTTTCCCTTGGTTCTCATTCTCTCTTGTCTGCTGCCATGTAAGATGTGCTTTCACCTTCCAACATGATTGTGAGGCCTCCCCAGCTATGTGCAACTGTGAGTCCATTAAACCTCTTTTTCTTTATAAATTACCCAGTCTCGGGTATGTCTTTATCAGGAGCATGAGAACAGACTAATACATTTATTAATTCAACTTTTTTTTGTTGTTGTTTTTCTGTTTTTGTTTTTTTTGAGTCAGGGTCTTGCTCCGTTGCCCAGGCTGGAGTGCAGTGGTGCAATCATATTAACTCAACTTTTCTACTGAGCATCTCCTATATACCTGGAAATGTCCTGCTTCCAGTTCTGACTCCACTTCCAGGGAATGAAGTTCATGTCATGAAGACACCGATGGTGATTTTATATACCCTGGGTTGCAAGTGTCTTAGGAAGAGGACTATATACCAGGCATTATCCTAGACACTGGGATTGAACAGCAAAGACAGATCATCATATCCCTGCCCTTATGCAGCATACTTTCTAGAGGTAAAATGAGCAATTAATAGGAAAATCAACGAATAAACAACAGCATTTCATGTGGTTATACATGCTGTGGGAACCGTGAGGGTACAATGATACATATGCACAAGGGAGAGGTGGGGGCAAGGTGGGCAAATTTGAGCCTAAACCTGGAAGAAGTGAAAGTGCATGCTATACAAAGTCTCAGAAAGAAGCATTTCCTGGCAGGAAACATGGAGGGTAAAAGCCAGAGGTAGGAATGAGCATCAAGTGCTGAGTCACCATCTAAAGGGAGAGACAGGGCTATGGAAATAGGTTATCAGGGGCCAGATCATCCTGGGCCTTGGGGGCCACATCAGTCCCCTGGATTGATTTAAATGTAATGAGTGTTACTGGAATTTTTTGAAGATGTGTTTTGTGCCAGGGGAATCAAGAATGATCTAATTTACCTGTTGTAAATACCCCTCAGGCTGCTACGTAGAAAACAGCTTGTGGGGAGTGGGAGAGGAATCAAGGAGACCAGCTATGAGCTGATGCAACTGAACAAATGGTCCTTTCCAAGCAAGCAAAGGCATGGTGAGAAATAATTTGATTCCAATTTATTTATTTACTTATTTTTGTCCTGAGTTCAAATGATGCTGCCAATGATAGGTAGGGAGGAGACCAGGGAGGAGCTTGCTTGGAAGAACACCAAAGAGCTCTGTTTGGGACTTGTCGACTTCTGAATGGAGATGTGGAGGAGGCAGTCTGGAGCTTAGAATGAGGCCAGAGCTGGAGACATATATTTGAGAGTCACAGACATATAGATGGCATTTAAATTCATGAAGCTGGCTAAGGTAACCCAGGGAGAGAGTAATTGGAAAAGAGGTCTCAGTACTGGGATTGTAATTCCAAGTTTTATTTGAGAATGAGAGAGAGAGAGAGAAAGAGAATATTGGTTCTAGAAGTTGATGTCACATAGGCAAAATGCCTGTGTGGTGCTGGTGAACAAGTTGCCTCAAAAACGTTTTAACATTTTCTGGAAAATCACGAGACTGTATAATAAAGCGGGTATTGACAACTGAGGCAGAGAGACTGAGTGGAGGTATCAAGTCCTGGCACTGACTCTCACAAATTGTGTCAAGTTGAACACATCAAAAGCTGTAGGTAACTCAATTCCTCATCTGTAAAACAGGGAGGATAGCAGCCAACCTCAAGATCTACAGGCTTAGCAAAGCAGCCCTCCTGTGTGCTACTGTATGCCCTGTGACCCTTCTTCCCATGCTGCATAGCATTGAAATGTCCTGCTTCCAGAGAATGAAGTTCATGTCATGAGGACAATGATGGTGATTTTATATACCCTGGGTCCCCAAGTGTCTTAGGAAGAAGACTGGAGCATGGGAGAGTAGTAGTTAAGAGATTGTTCTATGGGGTGAGACCCTCTAACATTTTTACTAGCATTGTAACTCTGAATGTATTACTTACCCCCTCTCTGATCTTCGGTTTCCTGATAAAGTGGGATTTGACAACTATATCAGAAGGTTATTTGGAGGAATAAGTAAGATAATGCATGTAAAATGCTTAGTATAGTGCTTGGCATCAGGGAATACAGAATAAATGATTCATATTTGTGCTGATGTCTGTTGTCATCCACTGCCAACCTTTTCTATCCTGCTCTGAGCTCCAGCACATGATATGATTAGAACCACAGAGTCAAACAGACCTGAATTCAGATCTTTGCTCCTCTGTTAACCAGCTGACTTTAGCACAACATGTGTGACTTTAAGCACCATGAGCCTTAGTTTCCTCTTCTTTAAAAAGGAAATGCTAACTTCAAACCCAGTGAGTGTCGGTAGGGTAACTGTGATGATGCGTTTAAACACTTAGCACTGGTGTAGAGCATGCACTCAGTACATCCTCTTGGCTGTCATAATCACTGTGATGTTCAAGAAAGTCCTTGGTAAACTGTAAACTATTGTGCACCCATAAGAGATGTTTCCATTGTTATTCACAAGATGATTCATTGCTGCCAAGATATAAGGCGGCCGTTCACTGAAGCTTGCTGCATTTCTTTTTTTCAGTCCTTTAGAGGATCTGCAATCACTGTCTCCTCTAAGATTTGGCCCTGCTCACCCCTTCCAGGAAGGCTTCCCTAATTAATTGTACCTTCTCTAACTTTTACTCTCCAAACACTTGATCCTTAGGAGTAAATTCAGATTTACAAAACAGATAAATTAGGTTAATTAGTTGTAGCACCAGAGGATTTTTCAGGATTGCTTTAAATTATGCGCTCCCAAAACACAGTTAAAAGATGTGCAATTTACAAACATTTGATTAACACTCAGGGGCTCTGGGACATCGATATTGCCCAAATTGAGGCTCAGCTTTGGTTCGGTCTATTTTCATGCATGTGCATTAAAATTGCCTCACCAGTCTTCAGAGTGCCTCTTCTAGGATTTACTATTAAATTCCCAAAGGAGAGGACCCTAACTTTAATTTCTATTACCTTCAGGGAGGAAATACAGCAAAGTGCTGTCCTTTGTGGGACCCAGAGGAGGAGAGACTGCCAGTCTGGTCTATGACAAGCAGCATAGTTTGTACCTGTTGTTTTGTCTTAATTGTCTGTCTGTGTGGAAAGTGTAAGCTTCCCGGAATGGTAGTAAATTGTATACAGAGTGAAACCCTGAGGGGAATTTTACTCAAAGAAACAAGAGATTGTGAAACTAAAGATGAGGATAATAGTTTTTGAGATATATGTTTTTTTAGTTTGCTTCCCATCTTACCCTCCCCCCGACTCTATCCTATTAAATGATGGTAAAACCCTCAGTGGGATGAGCCAGTAGGCTCAGCTTCAGGTACAATAAGAAAAGGAGATGCAGAGGAGAATGTCCCACTCCTCATAGGTTTGGGAAGGGAAGAATACAGAGGACAGAGGTGATAAATCTTCATGAGATAGTATTGAACAAAAATATAAGGCAGGCCAAGTCCCAGACCCTTATGTGAAGAAAGAAAAGAAGACAGGTCAAAACATCTCATGTAACCTATAAATATACACATTTACTATGTACCCACAAAAATTAAAAATTAAAAAAAAAAAGAAAAAAAAACAACGACCTCGGCATATAAATGTCAGGAACAGGTTCCCAAGGAGGGGAACAGAGACCTGAACAGCTAGAAGGCTCCAAGCAATCAAACACAGGTTTCCTGGGCAGGGACACAGAAGAGCAAGCCAGATGGTGGCCCAGGTCAAGTCTAGACATTCAGCTTTTAGGGATGATGCGATGGAACCAGACTTTGGAGGTGGAAAGAACACAGGTAGAGGTAGATATAGTTCCTCTTAATTCTTCTCTGACCTGAGTGATACCCACTGGAGGCCCACAGTGAGCCCTCATCCACAGTCTCCAGCTTTTGGTGGTCTTCCTGGCATGGAACATCTTTGACCTCTTCCTCCACCCTGCAGGATCAAGACAGCTTGGCTTACTCCCAGATGCCCGCTGGCTGTGAGAACAACTGTGAACTCTGGTGGGGGCCAGGGCAACCACTGTAGATCCTTCACCACGTGTGGCCCTGCTCTTGCTCTGCACCAACACCCAGACCTTCCCTCTGTTTCAGGGTGAAGATCTGCTCTAGTTCTGGCACTTGGCTTTCATATTTCATTTCTCTGATGCTCAACACCTGGTAAGCCACTTAAGGATTCAGTCTAGGCCATATTCTTCCCCATCTAATTCTACCCTCTGAAATTGTTTTACAACTGCCTACAGTATTCAGTACAGTAACAGGCTGTCCAGATTTGTAGCCTAGAAGCAATAGACAATACCACATAGCCTAGGTGTGTTTTAGGCTATACCATCTAGATTTTTGTAGGTACACTCTATGATGTTTGTATAATAATGAAATCACCAAAAGATGCATTTCTCAGAACATATTTCCATCATTATGGGACGCATGACTGTATAGAGAATCAACTCAACTTTTTAACGCTGACTAATATTCTATAATACAGATTGCCATAATGTAGTTAACCATTACCAAACTGAGAAACATTGAGACTGTTTCCTTTCCTTTTCCATTATACATAATATTGTAATAACCATCCTTATACAAATGAACTCACAAGCTAAATCTTATATTGCTATTGAGTATATCTAGTTATCTCAATGATTCTATGGGTCATGGGTATAATTAGGCTGACTTAAAATGGAATTGCTGGATCAATTGGTATGCACATTAAAAAATTTGTATATTTGGGGGCCAGACACGGCGGCTCACACCTGTAATCCAAGAACTTTGGGAGGCCAAGACGGGTGGATTACGAGGTCAGGAGATAGAGACCACCCTGGCTAACACGGTGAAACCCTGTCTCTACTAAAAATACAAAAAATTAGCCGGCATGGTGGCAGGCACCTGTAGTCCCAGGTACTCAGGAGGCTGAGGCAGAAGAATGGCATGAACCCGGGCGGGGGAGCTTGCAGTGAGCCAAGATCGTGCCACTGCACTCCAGCCTGGGCGACAGAGCCAGATTCCGTCTCAAAAAAAAAAAAAAAAAAAAAGTTTGTATATTTGGGAGGCCGAGGCGGGCAGATCACCTGAGGTCAGGAGTTTGAGACCAGCCTGACCAACATGGAGAAACCCCATCTCTACTAAAAATACAAAATTAGCCGGGTGTGGTGGTGCATGCCTGTAATCCCAGCTACTTGGGAAGCTGAGGCCGGAGAATCACTTGAATCTGGGAGGTGGAGGTTGCGGTGAGCCAAGATCGCATCATTGCACTCCAGCCTGGGCAACAAGAGTGCAATTCTATCTCAAAATAAAATAATAAAATAAAATAAAAATAAAAATAAAAATTATATAGGTGCTGCACTGCCAGATAACATAAGAGAGTAACATACATAGCTAGACTCACCTGCCACTCACTGTTGACTTTGAGCAAATTTATATGTTTTTAAAATTCAATTTTCTCATCCACAAAATGAAAATAATAATAATATCGATTTTGAAGTGTAAAGGTAAGAAATATATGCCATCTGGCATAAACTAGAAGCTTAATAAATTACATCTCTTTTATTACTCTACTACTATTAAAAGGCAAATCCTAAACTTACAATTAGCAGAAAGTAAAAACAAGGGCACATCGATGGAAGACCCACATGCTAATCCCAGCTCTCCCATTATTTGGAATCAATCTGGGCAAATCCTTTGACTCTCTGGGCCTCCAAATCCACAATTATTGAAAGTGGGTGTCAGGATAAGCTGCCTCTTGATGCTTTTGCCACTCCATCATTGCTTACTTTATTTCTAGGGCATTATTGGGAAGAAGGTATCAAGCTTTCAGATCTGCACAGATTATTTGTGCTGAGACAGAGGCAGGATTGCAAAATAAACAAAGAAACCAACATCCCAGGTCAGGCCTTTAAATACATGAATGAGAAACAGTTGGCCCCTAAAGAAAGCACATCCCTCTGTGGTCTTAGCTATTGGTAGATATTAGCTGTTGCACTGGGTCTACTAGATTCTCAAACTATCTCATTACAAAGAGGCACATTAAAACCATCTCTGGGACTCGGGATGGGAAACAGATTGGTCTTTAAAACTGTCTTCAAAAGATCCATTCTCAATTCCCTAACCCTCCAGGCTGACTCCGTTTCTTCTCACCATGCTCACAAAGCCTCCCTCAACAATGACCCCTGTGGTTCGATTACAAGTATGTCTAAATTAGACTTCCAGCCCTTATGTCTAACTGATTGTTATATCCCCACAGTGTCTAACCCAGGGCCTATCTTTTGCCCAGCTGAAGCCCCAGGAACCTTTGCTGAATGAAACATAATTGTGCAATTGCTCTCTTTATATAGGTAAACTGATTAAATACTATAATGATACAAGCCTTCTGTCTTTCTCAGAATACTTTTCTTGTAAACACAGCAAAATTGAAGGTATGACTCATAAACTACTAATGTGGAAGAAATTTTAGGGAGTGACTCATTCAAATGCTAATGTCTGAATGTTTATGTCCCCTCTCTGTTAAACTCATACGTTGAAACCTAATTGCCAATGTGATCCATTTAGGAGGGGAGACCTTTGGGAGGTTATTAAGTCATGAGGGTGGAGCTCTTATGAATGGGATGATTGCCCTTCTAAAAGGGGCCCAAGAAAGCTGCCTTGTCCGCTTCCACCATGTGAGAACACAGCAAGAAGTGCCATTTATGAACAAAGAAGTGGCCCTCACCAGATGCTAAATATGTGGGTGTTTTGATCTTGAACTTCTCAGCCTCCCAAATGGTGAGAAATAAATTTCTGTTGCTAATAAGCCACAGAATTTTGTGGCTTGCTTGTGGTATTTCATTATAGCACACTGAATGAACTAAGACATAACATCTTTATTTATTAATTTACTCATTTACATAACATTACTGTGTTCTAGAAGACCTAGGCTTTGGGTAGGTTCGGTGACCACTTCAAGGTTAGCTTCTGGAAGATCTGAGATCAGATCTTGATTCAGTACTCACTTTATTATTTATTACATATTTAATATTTTATCACATCACAGCAATAATTATAATTTGGTGATCATAATTTCATTTTTTAATGTTTTCATTTTAATGTATAGGATTGCCTAGGCTGCTTTAACTTTTTAATTCTCTAGGATTTTTATGAAATTAAAAAAAAAATCTCAACCCGTAACTTCCTTATGTGAGTGTTTTCTCCTAAACCCTCATGCTACGTAGTAGAACACTTGTTCTGGTTTCAGTTTACAAACTAGAGAACCCATTAATAATGACTACAGAACTCACAAAGTTTCTGATAGAAAATGTTATTTAACAAAAAGTCAAAATCTATAACTACTGCTATTTGAACAATATCTAAACAACGAGTGATGGAGCTTCAAAACAAGGCCAGGGCTTTAAATTGTATGCTCCTTCCACCCTTCATATTAAGTGGACTTCAATGCCATATCCAAGGTAGAGAGTTGATACAAATGAAACTTGCAAAGTTTTGGAGTAATAACTATAATATACTTTTAGTTAATATATGTTGAGTATAACATACAGGTAGAATTTTTTCACAGTTGAGAAGGACACAGCTTCCACATATTCACTGTAATAACTTGAAATGTCTTGCCACATGCAGAGAAGGCTTATACTGCAACAAGGAAAAGAGCATAGGCTTCGGATCCAATTCCCATCTCACTTCACATCTCTCTATGAATTTGTAACTCATCTATCTTCACTGAGCCTCAGTTACCTTTTGGGTAAAATAAGGATAACAATATATTTTTTGGCTGGGCGCGGTGGCTCACGCCTGTAATCCCAGCACTTTGGGAGGCTGAGGCGGGTGGATCATGAGTTCAGGAGATGGAGACCTTCCTGGCTAACACACTGAAACCCTGTCTCTACTAAAAATACAAAAAATTAGCCAGGCGTGGTGGCAGGCGCCTGTAGTCCCAGCGACTCGGGAGGCTGAGGCAGGAGAATGGCGTGAACCCGGGAGGCGGAGCTTGCAGTGAGCCGAGATTGCGCCACTGCACTCTAGCCTGGGTGACAGAGCGAGACTCCATCTCAAAAAAATAAAAATTAAAAATTAGATTAAATTAAAAAAAGGATAACAATATATTTTTTATAGAACTGTTGGAGGACAACAAATAAAAAAATATAATAAACGTGCCCAATACAATGGTTGTCATATAGCAGGGAGAGCTGAAGTCAAGCAAAATGTGGGAAAAGCAAATTCAACAAGTAGTAAGAGCAGAGCTTGAGTATAGCTATCAAGGAGGGTTAATACTTGCACCAATAGTTCACCAAGATGAGGAATGAGGTCTACATGAGATTCCACTTGGCAATGCCGTGTTTCCATTAGTAGAATGAGAAGAGCGGCCTCTATAGAAGCAGAGGAGAGGTTTCCCACGTAGCATCACATAAGCTGCATCCTGGCTTCCACGAAAGAGAGAAAAGGGAGCTCTTTGCAGCCCAGTTTGATCGAGGAAGACTTTCTAGATAGGTGGGTCATGAACTAGAACTTGAAAGTCAAGTGAGATTCTAGAAGGCAGAAAGGAAGGGAGCGGTAGTCTAGGAAGGGGCATCAGGGACAGCAAAGGCTCAGAGGCTAAAATGTGACTGACACATTCGGCTCCTGGAGCAGAGAATGAGTGTTGAAAAAGAAATAAGAGAAGAAGAAGAAACTGCAGAGTATATTTATCTCAATTTGTGGAAAGCCTTAGTTGTCAAACTAAGAGATCTGTGTTTTCTCCAGTTGACAAAGAAAAGACATGTTCATAGTCTCCTGAAAAGTGGTCTTTTAGGAAGAATAATCTGAATGTGGAGCAGGAGCAAAGAGGCAGCTGAAGACAGCAGGAGGCTATGGATTAATGAACAGTGTACTGAATATGGATTCAGAGGGCTTTGGAATTTATGTTCCAGCATTACTGCTTAATAGCTGTGAAACAAACTATCACCAAGTTACTCAGCTTCTCTAAACTGCAGTTTCTTTTTCTTAAAAATGGGGATAATAACGTCAGGATTTGGGGTGGTGCTCTAATATACAAAGAGATTCATAGCAAGAGAATTACTCTGGAAACTCTAGAAAATGCCTGTTCAATAAAACTTGCTGAGGTGATGAAAACTTCCTGTATCTGAGCTGTCCACATCAGCAGGTTACTAGCTACACTTGAAATGTACTTAGTCTGAGTGAGGAACTGAATTGTTAATTTTAGTTAACTTGAATAAATTAGATTTAAATTTAAATAGCCACCGTATTTCACAGCAGAACTCTAGAGCCTAGGATAGTGAAAGGAGAATGGATTTTTAAAACAGGAAAACCCTGGTTTCAAACATAGCTTTAACCCTACTGGGCAAGTCGCTTTAACTCTCTGAGAGGAATAGTAGCCAGATGGTCTTGAGCTCCGGGCTCCAGTCACAAATGACTTTTTGCATCTCCTTAACCACACCAGGCTTTCTTAAGCCTCTGTGTTTCTGCACTTGCAGCTCTCTTTGCATGAAATAATCATCCCCCTTTGCCCCTTGACTTTGCTTGGAGAAATTCAAATTTTTTTCAGACTTAATTCAGGCATCTGCAGCACATTGTTCATGAAGCTATCCCTGGCTTCCTTGCTCATCCCTAGGCTGCACTGTGAACTCTCTTCTATGCCCCTATGCTACCCCGTGATTCCACTCTCAGAGCACATGTCACATAGCAGCCCGCCTCCCCCATGGGCTGTTAGTACAGATGGTGCTCACTGAAGGGCAGGGATCAAATTGTGTGTATGTGTGTGTGTGTGTGTGTGTGGCAAAATATACATAATATAAATTTATCATTTTAACCATTTTAAGTTTACAGTTCAGTGGCATTAAGTACATTCACATTATTGTGCAACCATTATCACCATCCATCTCCAGAACCCACCCATGAAACATTAACCCCCTATTTCTTCCTTCCTCCCCCCAGCCCCTGGTACCAACCATTCTACTTTCTGTCTCTCTAAATTTAGCTATATTGGGCAACTTGTATGAGTAGGAATGTACAGTATTTGTCCTTTTAAGTCTGGTTTACTTCATTTATCATAATGCCTTCAAAGTTCATCCATGCTGTAGCATGTATCAGAATTATTTTCCTTTTAAAGGCAGTATAGTATTCCATTATATGAATGTATCACTTTTGTTAATCCGCTGATCCATAGATGAATACATAGTTGCTTCCACCGTTGGGCTACTGAGAAAAATGCTGCTATGAACTTGGTGTATGGATGGAGCTGTGTATTATATATTTCTGTCTATTCCCACCACCCAGTACTGTTCCTAGAAATGCAGGAGATATTTACTAGAAGTATTCAGTGGAAGGAAGGGTGAGACCGAAAGATGAAGAAAGAAGAAAAAGAGGGAGGCAGGCTGACGTATTCACAGCTCACACACACACACACACACACACACATTGACTGACATTGCTTTCCCACTGAGAATGTCCACCCCACTGAAAGAGCCAATCTCAAACTTCACCTTAAAGGAATCTTTATTTATTTAATTTTTAGTTTTTCCATTGGCAACAACCCGATCTTGCAATCAGAGGCTTTGTGTGTATTTCGGCCATTTCACTTAGATAAGTCAAAAACACTGAACCTCGGTTTATTCAGCTTAAATATGGTAAAACTGTTTATTCTTCCAAAGTGCGTGTGGGGGTCTGGTGTGAGAATTAAATGTCAGTATACTCTGTGAACTCTAAAGAACTATATAAACTATAGATTTCAGTTATTCTCTAGAACTTTTCTTTCTTCTATATTTCAATTATAATAAGTCAATTAAAATCCATAATGGGAAAGGAGACTAGAGACTTAAGGAGAGTTTCCTTTTGAATTCCATTTCTAAACCTAGAGGCAAGAAGTGTCAAATTGTTACAATTTTTTTTTTTTTACATTCTAATCATTTTCTCATTCTATTGAAGTTCCAGGTTTCTATTTGGGCTTGACACAGTCAGTGAAAATATTAAGCCTTTATAACACCAAAAAGTGCTAATGCACAACTCCGGTAATACTTCAGCCATGGGCGACATTTAAAGAATCCCCAGCTACATAATCACATTAACGTTTAATGTGCCCAAGTGCAGCTGAAAGATGTTTCCTCTCTTCTGCATCTCCTTCCTGAAGCAAAAATGCCAGTGGAACTGAGAATCCCATTTGTGTCTTGTGATGAGTCCCCATAGAAGAGAGAGTCCTTCAGACCCCTTCCCCACATGGGCTGCTCCTCGAGGTAAACACAGCTTGTATAAGTAGGCAAACATCTTTTATCATTTTACATCCTTTATAGGTCATCCAGTTTGAGTTGGAGACACAAGGGAGTTCCCAGAGAAATTCATTACTGCCACTCACTCTGGTTTCTCGTCTCAATATAATTAGGCTTGGCTAATTGTCTATCATGATTAAAATCATGCCAACAACAACCTTGTTCTGGAGTTTGGCTTGGCTCCAAACTTGTTAATCGCTCTTGGTTTAGAGTAGGTCATTCTGTACCTTGCTTCAGCTGTGAAATTCCTTATAAATAACATGCTTAGATAATAAGATCATCCTTTGGTGACCAGGAAGTGTCAGCACGGATGACACAAGGGGTGGTTAATATATGGGATAACTGAATCACAATTCGAGCCATTCTCAACAGCCTGGAACACTGAGCTGAATTTAGCCCAGTGCTATCTTGCTAGGAAAAAAGTAAGGTCTTGAGTCAATCGCATAGGGATAGCATGGCAGGAGTTCACAAAACCAGCTTGGATCACATAAAGTGCCCCCAAAGCTCAATGTGAGTTAATAAAGCTTCTAAAAATATGAGATTTGCCTAGATTAACTGAAATTCAACATCTCACTTAGCCTAAGAGGCATCAGGTATAATATAAGGTGTACTACTATTTTATGTACCACCAGGACAAAAAGATGCTGCCAAGTAAAAGTTATGACAATAATTTCTTGTCACTTTGAATTTTTGTTTCCTACTTAGTAAGAAATATCTTAGATGCATTTGTATCCAAATATCATGCTGCACTGTTTCTGGGCTTTTCTGAGTGCAAATAACTTTTCATTTCAAAGATGAATTACGGTGTAATCTTTTTGAAGATCCTTTAACCGTCAATCAAACTCAGCACTTGTAGGAACAGCAATGTGCACAACTCAGTAGAAGTGATGGTGGTATGAGCAGCTCTGACCAAGTGTGTCCGTATAGGTAATGATGGCTGACTGCCAGTCAGCAGTGATTGTAAGATGTCAGCAACTCTGGGATGCATCCTTATTTCCCAGATATTAAAACATGGAATAAATATGTATGCCAGTGTTTATGAAATATGGTATAGGGTTCAAGGAGAGGGAGATGATAACCCTGCTTTCCTTAGTACTAGTGAGTCCATAAATCCACTTCTTAAATATCAATCTCAGCTCTAAGCAACATTTCTTGTGCAAGGTTCTTCCTGGTTTATGCACAGCTTCCCCTTGGTGTTCACTGAACATTGCATATGGCTCTGCTTACCCCAACTGTCAGAATTCAACATCATTTTTATCCCCACGTTCATTTTTGAAGCTGTATGGTCCTTGAAGTCAAAGGCATCTTCTTCATTTCTGTCTCATTACCAATTTGGGTAAGACCTGACACATAGTAGGTGCTCAATAGATGAATGACCAGATATAAGAATGATTGATTACTGTTCCATGATGAACTCTGGGTTGTACGTGTTTCTCTCTTTAGTAAGAATTTGAAAAAATGTCATTATGATGTAGATGATTTCAAGCAGTCTTAATACTGAAATACAAATATCGCATTACTGTTAGGTAAATTTCTTTTATATCAATAATGCCCTTGGGACTGGGCTTTCAAAGAGCTCCTTACCTCCCCACCCTGCCTCTGCACTCACACATTTGGATAGACCTTGTGTTCTAGTGAGGAGTTTTCAAGCCTTGAAGCCAACAGGATCTGGATGCAAAACTAACTCTGTCATTTGACTACAGGAGAGAACTTGCAATAAAAAACTCTCTCTTGGTCTCAGTTAAATAGGCCTACATCCTGAGATTGCTGTGAGGATAAAAAAACACACACAGAACCTTCAATGGTGCCCAGTATACCGTAGATTCTCAATACATTTCAGCAACAGGTTTATAAAACACACTACAATTTATGCAAAACTTTCACAGCCCACGTCTTCTGATTGGCATGCCAATCCTGACAGGAGGCTCTCCTATTGCTGTTTTTCAAACATTAAAATAGACTCAGAAAGGAAAAGAAGCTTGCACAAAATCACAGTTGCATACTAGGACCTTTAACCCAGTTCTCCTTATCAAATCACATTCATAACAAATAAATTTTAGATCTCGAAAGAACATTAGAAATAATCTAATTTCAAATTCTCATTGATCACATAAGGAAACTGAGGAACAGAGAGAACATGATTTGCTTTCAGCACCAGCACCACTCAGCTGCTAGTGGCAGAACTGGGATTGGAGCCTGGAGATCTGGACTTTGAAAAAAACATGTTTCAGTATTTCTTACACAACAAGGGGTCCAACTCTGAAGGGCAAATCCTCACATGGTGATATGCCCCTGCCCTCCTCTCCAACCTCACTTTCTACTGGCACGACTTTCCTGTCATTCCACACTGACCTTTCAGCTGCCCCTCAAACATGCCTGGCTCATTTCCCTATGTACTTGCCTTCACTCTGTTCAGAAAGTTCTTCTCCTGATTCTTTCCATATCAGCTTTCTCACTTAATTCAAGTTTCTGCTCACATGCTACTTCCTCAGAAAGGCTTTCTCTATCCAAAATAGCCTTTAGACCCTAAACAAAAGTGCTTCAGTGCACTACTGTCTAACATTCTCAATCCCCTTGCTCTACTATTTTCTTTATAGCACTTATTACTTATTAATATGATATGTTTATTTACTTGTTTAATTTCATTTCTTTTCTACTATGATGCAGGTTTCACAAGGACACTGATCAGGTTTGTTTTGTTCATTGCTGTATTACCACTAGAATAATGTCTGGCACATAGGTGAGTGCTCACTGAGAACATTAGTTAAATGTCTACTGTGTTCCTAGCACTGGTATAAGCACTGAGAAAAGAGTAGTGAGCCAGAAAGACATTCTCCTCTGCCCTCATGGAGTTTCTAGTCTAGTGATGGATGTAGACATTGACCAAATAATTACAGAATTATATGGTGCCAGAAGAGCTTATCATCAGCAGAAGTGAGCTAGTCTTGAGATTCTGAGAAGATTCTTCTGAGGAAGTGACTTTCTGTGTACACATTGGATGGGCAACAGGGTGTACGCTAGGTAAAGAGTAGAAGATGAATGTCTCAATGGAGGAAATACCAGGATACATTCTTATGTCAAGAAGGGGTAATGGCAGAGGGCCGGTTTCATATGGATGGAGGAATAGATAGAAGTCAGACCATGCAAAGCTTTTTAGGATATGTTAAAGATTTTGGCCTATATCCTGTGTCATGGGAAGCCATTGGAGGATTTTAATCAGAGATGTGATATAATTAGTTCTGTATTCTTAAATGATCATTTTGGTTGTCATAGGGAGAATGAACTGGAAGAGGATAAGGGAGAAATCAGAATGATCAGTCAGGAGGCCCTTGCAGTAGTCCCAGAGGGGAAGCAACAGTGGTTTGTACAAGGGTGGAGATAGAGCAAGTGGAAATGGATGAATGGATGGATCAAGGTGCTCTTAGAGTTAGAATGTGCAGAATTTGGGGAAGACAGTGTGTCAAGTATAACTCAGATTCTTATTAACTTGTGCAAGTGCAGAGAGATGGAGAATCCTGGAAGAGGACCAGATCATGAATCCTGTTTTGGGTATGTTGAATTCGAGATGCTTTTGGGACATTTAGATGCAGATATAAAATAGCAAGAAATGTGGGTCTAGAGCTCAGGGAAGGCTGTGCATTGGAGATGCAATCTGAGCAGTGGTCCTCAAGGCTGTAGATGTGGAAAGTCTGAGGAGGAAGTATGTGATGAGAAGGTGCCCATGGTGGAACCTTAGGAAACCCTGTCATTAATGGCCAAGTAGAAAAAGATGGCCTGAAAGGGCACAAAGGAATAACCAGAGATAACTGAGAAAACCTGAAGAAATGTGTCCCACCAAAGTGGAGAAGAGAGGAGGGTTTTTCACAAGGAAGGGAGTGGTCAACAATGCCAACATGGCACAGTGGTCAAGGAAGATGGGTACTGAGATGGGCCCTTGAGTTAAGGACATTGAGATCACTTGATGACTTTAATGAAGGCTGTTCAAGTGGTTCAAGTGGAATGATGCAATCAGAAGCCAGGTTAGGGCAGAATAACACGATTTGTAATGAGGATAGCAATAAGAGACAGACCTTTTAAAAATAGCTATGCAGTTAGGAGAGACAAAGGGAAAATGTTATAGCTGGTGGGAGATGTGAGGGTCTCTGGAAGGAAGTTTATTTATTGATTCAAGACTGAAGTGACTCTAGCATGTTTAGTTGATGACAGAAAGGAACATCTTTCAAAAGACATGTTTCAAAGGCTATGTGAACGAATTGGTTTTGGCAAAGGAACTAGGCTCACTCTCCTCTAGGGAGGAAATGGGGGCAGGAGGGTGCAGATGCCATTAGGTTTATATGGTGTTTTGTTTTGTTTTGTTTTGAGATGGAGTCTTGCTCTGTTGCCAGGCTGGGGTGCAGTGGCGTGATCTCAGCTCACTGCAACCTCCGCCTCCCGGGTTCAAGCGATTGCCCTGCCTCAACCTCCTGAGTAGCTGGGACTACAGATGCACACCACCACGCCCGGCTAATTTTTTGTATTTTAGTAGACACATGGTTTCACCATGTTGGCCAGGATGGTCTCGATCTCCTGACCTCGTGATCCGCCTGCCTCGGCCTCCCAAAGTGCCAGGATTACAGGCGTGAGCCACTGCACCCAGCCACGTTTATATGTTTAATGGAGGAAGGTGAAAGATTTCTCATTTCACAGATTCACTTTGCATGTGAAGTAAGAGGCAAAATCATTTGCTGAGAGTCAGAGAGGTAAGGGAGGGAGGTTGGGGAGGAGCTGGGAGTTTGAGGAAAATGGACAAAATTAGATATATTTATCGCACAGAGTGAGAAAATAAGCTGAACAGAGGAACTGGGTGGAATGTGGATACTTTTGAGATTGGTGGTCATGCCATTCTGCCCACCGAAGTGACCCTGCCGTGCAGGTATAAACACCATGGAAAAGATTGGTTGAGTTTGTCCCGGACTGGTGTTTTTCTAGATGCATGTGATGAAAAACCAGGGAGGCAAGGAAGTTAAAAGTTTTGGCAAATGTGTTACTGAAATGAAGGCCTTGCAGGTGCTTCTAGTCTAACTTAAGGGCAATGTATTGAATAAACAATGAATTTCTCCTTATGATTACTGGCTGCATGAAAGATATTTCCTCTTTCATTCATTCTTAATTCAAGTCCTTTTCCAGGTGCAATTTTGAATTTGTTATGCTTACCTGGGTCAATTTTGTTCACGTCCACCTACTATACTTGATTGTGAGCTGCTTTGAAGGAAGGAGGCGTAACTAATTCATATCTGCATTGCCCATGCCTAGCTTGGTGTTTTTCACATTGCAGATACCTGATAAATGGTAAATATATACATTGTATAAATTGATGTATGTGGAGGACATTTAGGGCAATTACCAGTAAGATATTTATCCACTCCATCTCTAATGATAAAAATAATAATCACCATCATCCTTGATAGAGATTTATAGTTTGCTTCGCAAAATAGAACAGAGTGAGCTGAAAACCAGACTAAGTTCTGAATGAGAGATGTGGTCATTATTTTTCAGTTCTCTTTGCTAAAGAGATGCTATATCTCCCCCTTTCAGAGAAATGAGAAAAAAAGAGGAATAAAGCAGACTAGATCGTTTTAAAATTCTTCATTAGCATCCACACTGAATAAATTTCAACGGCAGGAGCCTTAACACAGCTTCACTGTATCTGATGCACAGAAAACGAAGCCTGCCAATCTTGCAACATGTCTCGAGATGAAGAAGGTCAACATATCAGAAAATAAAATCAGTAGCAGAGATTTCAAAGAAATTCATCCCAAGAGTTCTTCTCAATGAATGCAGTGCAAGATTGAAGAATTCAATTACAGGAAAAAGAGGTCTTTTTTAAATACCGTGCCCAGCTATTAGTTTTTTTGTCATTGCTAACATGAAGACATATTGTTAGCCATCAGGAAATCTCAACAAATTCATACATTCAAATCACAAGGGATTTGTTTGGTAGATGGATCTGAAATCTGGTCTGCCTCCAGCTCCTCACTCAAGATTTCGTTTATGCCAAGGAGAATGTTATTCTTAATCAGACATAGAAAAATCCAGCTCTTTGCCACTGAGCTGCTTTATTCCTTTAGAAAAAAAAATCTGCCTTTGGTTATAATAGAACATTAGAAGTAACTTTTTTATTTGGGGCTGACTGACTGAATTTCCTTTGCCTAAGAAAGCAGAGGTAGTGAGTGGTCATGGAGGTGAATTCTGGAAAGCAAGAGCCTTTGTATCTGGAGCTTTTTACCTGGCAAATCAAATTCTAGGGTTAATTGAAAGGAAATAATGCTTTAGTCTCTAAAACATAAAGCTCAATTTATAAAAATGTTCATTGCAGCATAAGGTAGATTAACAGCTACAAATCCCTTACATCCTGACTGGTATTCCCCTTTGTAATGTGACTTTGATGCTCTTGCTGTCCTGAAGTAGAGTCTGTTTCTAATACCTTGATTTTGGACTGGTCTTGTGACTTGTTTTGAACAAAAGGATGTTGTAGAAGTGACATTTTACTAGTTATAGAGCCTAGACGTCAAGAGGTCTTAGAGCTTTCTCACCTTTCTTGAAACGCTGTCCTGAGACCTCCTTGTAAGAAGGCCAGAAGGCCAGTCTAACTTACTGGAGGATGAAAGCCATCAGGGAGAATGGAGGTACCCCCGTGTAGTCAGCACTAATTAGCAGACAGGTGAATGCGGCCATCTTGGACCTTTCAGCTCAGCTGAGCCTCCAGCTGAAAGCACCTGCCTGAGTGAGCCCAGGTTAAGTCAGGAGAACCCACCTAAACACCCAATAGAGGCACTAGAAATAATAGATAAGTGTTTTAAGCCATTTAAGCCTTGGATGATACACCCAAAGGATTAGATAGACACACAGCAACAGATGCCAGATATACCAAGGATTGGAAACATCTGAACATTGAACAATAGTAGAATGGTAAAGTAAGGGATGCTATATTCACGCAACAAATTACATTTGAAGAGAGTTTTTGGTGACATGAGAATGTGCTTTTGTTATAAGGCTTCGTAAAAGCAGTTTGAAAATTTTTGTATAAAATTAGTTCTCATTACATGACAAAGAAAACAGCTGGAGAAAAGGCACCAAAACATTTCAAAGGCTTTTAATGGTGGAATTCGTTATCTTTCAACTTCTTGTTTACCCCTGCCTACTTTATTCCTTATAATTGAATTTTAGCCTCCTCTCTTTGCCCAAACCAACAACTATAAATGATTTTTAAAGTACTGGGGCCCCAAATTGAGGCAGAACTTTTGTTAGTGTTTTTAGAAAAGATCATCGCCTATATGTATACTATTCTGCCTAACTTCCTATCCTCACTGTTCTTCTGTCTCCGCAGTACCGGAGAGGACTCAGGTCTTAAAATGAAAGAAACCGGCCGGTCGCGGTGGCTCACGCCTGAAATCCCAGCACTTTGGGAGGCCGAGGCCAGTGGATCACGAGGTCAGGAGATCGAGACCATCCTGGCTAACACGGTGAAACCCCGTCTCTACTGAAAAATACAAAAAATTAGCCGGTGTGGTGGCGGGCGCCTGCAGTCCCAGCTACTCAGGAGGCTGAGGCAGGAGAATGGCGTGAACCTGGGAGGCGGAGCTTGTAGTGAGCCGAGATTGGCCACTGCACTCCAGCCTGGGCGACACAGCAAGAGTCCGTCTCAAAAAAAAAAAAAAAAAAAAGAAAGAAAGAAAGAAACCCACTATAGTAGGACAGTCAATTGTGGAAAATTTAATCTTGGCAAAAGAGTTGAAGCAGGGCGAATAAAGAATATGTTGATGTTAGGCATATTCCAGTTTAACTTTCTTTCACAGCACTTAACCATCTCCAATATCATATTTTACCCTTATTTATTTGTTTGTTTGTATATCTCTCCGAATAGAATGTTAAGTCCATGAGATGGGTGCTGTGTCTATTTGGTTCTTTCCATATCCTTATCACATATAATAATGTTTGCCATAAACTAGTACTTGAAATAAATATTTGTTAAATGAATAAACAAGGTCATTGATCAAGGACTATCTTCATATTTAACAAGTCTGTCTGATGGAAATGTAGTGGAAAGATTCTGGTCTGGAAGTTCAAAAATGTATTCTGGGAGCTCTTTAATTTGGAGCAAATTCTTTCACTTCTCTGTGCTGAAGTTTCTTGCTGTGAAGGAATGCTGAAATTTACCCTTAAAAGATAGCTGAGAGATTAAATGAAATTAATGAGAAATCAAAAAATAAAACCCTGGAAATTTGAAACCAGTAATAATAGATAGCACATAGTTATGTGTCCAAAGCATTATGTACATTAACTCTTCTCCTTTTAACAATCTCCAGAGGTAGGTACTAGTATCTCTCCACCTTACAAATGAGGAAACTAAGACTCAGAGACCCAGGCCAGATATCCCAGCTAAGTAGAGGAGGCAGAATTCAACTTTGGTTGGCTTGACTCCAAATTGTATTTGCTTCCTCTTGCAGATGAATGCTGCTACAATAAAGGGTAAGGTTCTTCTATCTTTCCTGCTTTATTGGCAAACTCAAGTTCCCAAGATTCACATCATAGGGTACTGTAGCCAAACTCATGATCTTCTCCTTAGAGCATTCCCCTTAAATCCCTTCTCTTTCATTGCCCTGGGGCTCAGACTATACATTTAAGAAAGAAAAGAAATGCAGTAGCCTTGTTGTTTCTCAGTCTCTAGGTCCTGCCAGTTAACACACATGACTTTCTCTCATTTGAACTGCCTCTGCCTTAGTTTGGGACCCTAAAAATCTCCCCTGGACCTTTGCTGTTCCCTCCTAACTAGTCTTATTGCCTCATTTCACACTTCCCATCTGTCATCTGCACTGTGTCAACATGTCTGCCCATAACTCAGATCTTACCATATCACTCCCTCTTTCCCTGTCCAAGGTCCAAGCTATCCAGCAGAATAGACACATACTCTAAGACTTAGTCTCTTGTCTTCCTTCTCAACCTCAACTCTACTCATGCCCTGCCGGGCAATATTTCACTGCTTACTCTTCTCCTCACCTGGTAGGGGATTCTACTTCTTGGTGTATTTACTCAAGGTCTTTCTTCATCCTGAAACACTACTGTACACATTTTGCTCATAATTCCTTTTCATCCACTGGGATTTCGCTCAGGTGTCACTTTTTCCAGGAAGTCCTCCCTAATCTTACAGCTGAATTGGGTGCCTCTCTTTTCTGCTCTTAGTACCCTCTACTTATGTATTTAGTCAGTGAAAACAGTGAAGCCCTGGGTTGCAGGGGGGTCTTATCGTAGCTGTCCATAAATGAGAATAACAGGGTCTTCACCGGATTGTTGCAAGGGTTAAATGAGTTAATGTGAAATGCTTAGAATAGTGCATATAGTACCTTTATGCACAGGAAGCTCTCAAAATGTGTCCCATGTCATCTTAATATCTCTGGAAACCTGCACTACATCTGGCAGACAGGAGGCATTAAAAGAAATATTTGCTTACTGTGAGACATCAAATTGTCTATACTGTTAATGTTGTTTAAAACTCCATAATGAATTCTTAGCAGCTTCATTCTGTGTCCTTAAAGTAAAGGGAAAAGTGACATTAAAATTTTTCCATTTCAATAAAGGGAACCAGGATTCTTTGGAGAAATAGCTAATTCTAGGTCTGGGACAGGCAATACACAAGATAAGCCTGGGGCATCCTAAAGTGCCAGAAAGTAAGGAAGTGCTAAAACAAAGCAAAGTAAAACACACACATGCACACACACACCCAATGATGCGGTATGTCAAAGGGACACAGAAGCCCATTTAAAGAGCTTCCAGTGGTAAATATTGCAACAATTTGAGAATAAAAGAAAACAGTATTAGATTATAACACAAAGTATAAAATAAATATCCTTGAGTCCATACTGATATACAAAAATGATTGGATACATAAATGAATGAGGGAGAATATATAACTCTCCTGTGCAGAAGAATTTCAAATAATTTATGTAAACACTAAAGAAGTAGAGCAAAACTTCATACTCCTTAAGTGTGGGCTGGGCATTGTGACTTTCTTCCAAAATTGTACCATATGGAAAGGGGGTGAACATAGTTACTTTTGAGTGGAGAAGCCGGACAAACACTACCTTAGCCAGGTGATCAAGCTCAACATCAACAGTGATAAGTCATGAACATTGTCCTTTGCTTTTGTGGTCTTATTTCCAAAAATCTATAACCCCAATTTAATCATGATAAAAATATCAGACATCCCATTTGAGTGATATGCCACAAAATGCCTCAGCAGAACTCCTTTAAATTGTTAAGGCCATTAAAAACAAGGGTGAGAACCTCACAGCCAAGAGGAACTTAAGAAGACATGATGATGAAATGCACTGTGGTACTCTGGACAGGATCCTGAGACAGGAACAGGACATTAGGTAAAAACCAAGGAAATCTGATAAGGTATGGGCAATAGTTAATAATCATGTATCAATATTGGTTTGTTGTAAAAAAAAAAGTACCTTACTAAAATGAAGTAGTAATAGGGGAAACTGAGTGTGGCTTATATGGGATCTCTCTGTATAATCTTTGCAATTTTTCACTAAATAGAAAACTATTCTAAAATAAAAAGTTTCTTTTTCTTTAAAAAGTATCCATTACATCGCAGCCACACTGTGGGGTGCTTTTTACTCATTAGCTAATTTAATTTTCACAGCAACAGATGAGAATATTGAGTCCCAAGGAAATTAAGAGATTTGCCTTAAGTCATAGTTAATAAAGCTCAGAACCAGGATACAAATCTGTGAGTACTTGCCTTCAAAATTCTTGAGCATGTGATGACACTATATTGCACCTCCAGAACAAAAGGATTCTCCCAGAGGAGGTGAGGTAGTGAGAGAAGGCAGTGGGTGTCCTTATGGAAGATGGGATGGGGATGTAAGTGCTTAGCAGGTTATAAATATTCACATACTTCTGATTTCCTTCTATAATTCTTGTACTTCTAGAATTCTTGACTAATTAGTGTCCTGATTTCAAAGTTATAGCTTTGAAATAACTGCTTAATTTCTCTCTTCTTTTTCTTGAGACAGGGTCTCACTCTGTCCTCCAGGCTGGAGTGCAGTGGCTCAATCACGGCTCACTGCAGCCTCAGCCTCCTGGGCTCAGGCAAACCTTCCACCTCAGCCTCCCACGTAGCTGAGACTACAGGTGCATGCCACCACACCTGACAAATTTTTGTATTTTTTGTAGTGAGGGGCTTTCTCATTCTGCCCAGGCTGGTATGGAACTTCTGGGCTCAAGCAATCTGCCCCGCCTCAGCCTCCCAAAGTGTTAAGATTACAGGCATGAGCCACTGCACCTGGCTAACTTCTTAATTTCTTAAGCAACTTCCTCTTCCACTCTAAAAAATAAATTTTAGAACAATATTTCATTTTTTCATTCTGCCTTTGCTGAAGAGAGGGTTTTCACTGCATTTTTGGCTTGGTAACTTATACTTAGGGGAAGCCCTTCTTGCGGTGCCAGAGTCCTCCTGAGCCCAGCAGGGCTGTTGAAATGATTTGATTTGGCGTTGCATTGTTAAGAAATAAAAGAAGAAAAAAGGAGGAAAGGGGAACTTTTTTTTTAAACATCAATATGGAGCTTTATTTATAGTCTCCATTGAAGAACTGATCATCTGGTTTTTTAAGTATTTAAAAATGAAACTTGGAGAAGAAATCAGTTTCCTGATCAGTTTTGCTTATTCTTCCCTGGTAGATTCACACTGCGTTATCAGAGTATTTCTTTTTCCTTCATATTTCCTGGACTTCTGGCATGAGTTTTACCACATGGGGTGAAGTGAACAAAACTAGTCACTATACACACATGCAACCCAAGATTTTGTTTCCAGCATAAATTTACTGAATCAGTGTATGACTCTGTGCCTATGCAGGGAGAAAGAATGAAAACATCTGAACACTGGGCTGGGGCCAATCAATGGTCCATGTGGCCTTGCATTTGATCACAAGGGAAGGGAACTCCTGTGCATGCCCATGGTGCCATCATTGACCTCCCCAGAGTTCCTGCCACTTAACAGCCTGCTCAGCTGTCCCTCTCACATTTCAAACCAACAGGCTCCATGCCTTTTTCCACTTACCCATCTCTGTCCTCCCAGTTTCTATCAATGGCTCCAACGGCTCTGTAGTTATCCCTGTGGGAAACTTCAGAGTTGTCTTGGACTCATCTCCTTGAAGCACTCCATTTCTCTATTCAATTGCCAACTCCCGTAGATTTGATCTGTTTTTCTCTGAACCCACCATTCCCTCTCCTCTCCATTCCCACTGCTTCTACCTTTTTCAGGTCCTCATTATTTCTCACCCAGGCCTTTTCAACAAGCTCCTAATTAGTCTCCTCACCTCCAGTCCCTCTCATCTACAATCTGTCTTCCATCCTTCCACTGGTTTAATTTCCCTGAAGTACAGCTCTAATCATGTAGCCCCACTGCTAAAAAACGTAATGGCTCCCCACTGCCTCCAGGATAAACGCCAAAGTCCTTAGCTTACCGTTCAAGGCCCTTCACCATCTGGCCCTAAGCAATCTTTCCAGACTTATCACCTATTACGACCCTACATGAATTTCCTATTCCAGCCAGATTGGTCCACTCATTACTGCATGCATGTGCCGTCTCTGATTATGGAGCTCTGCTCAAGAGGTTTCTCTTGCTTGGATAGTTGTATTCACTCCTCTCTCTTTGCCATAAAGGGTGATGTCCCACTTAATCACAAGGTTATTCCAGGGAGTCCGGCCTTACCTAATTACCTGTATCATTAATTTTGCTTTTTATTTTCACCATTTCAGTGCACGTTCTATATTTCCACCTCAACTATCTTAACTACAGGCCTCTCAAAGACAATAACAGGGTTTACATGTTTGGTGAATTGGCTCTATCAGTCTTGACTTGAAAATGGAGTGTGAAGGCCTGAACTGTGAGTCGAATCTGATTGCTCCCCTGGAAATGCACTCAGCATCATCCTTTCCCTCTGACAAGTAGAGGTCTGCATCAACCACATCTTTCTCCCTTCTTCTGTCTTTTAGGTTGCACTTTCTCCTAGGAAGCCTCCACAGTTCCTTTCGTAAATGGGCTTCCGCATTTACAAATGACCTCATCAGTTAGTATCTCAGATATGTCTAGAGGAGTCTGAATTTCCGTGGTCGGTTCTAAATTGTCTTAAATGGGAGGGCCTTCACTCCTTTTCCCTGCCTCCTACCTTTTGCTGATACCCCCTCCCCATACTTTTAAATCTGATTCCAATAAATTTCTACCACAATGATTCAAAAATACAGTGAGCGTTAGAATCATCTGAAGAACTTGTTGAATATGTAGATTCCTGAGTCCTATCCCCAGAGATATGGAATAAGTAGGTATGGACTGTGGCCCATGACTATGTGTTTTTAACCAGCTCCCTGCATAATTCCGAGGATGGTCTGAGGACCACACTTTGAAAATCACTACATTACAGTCTGATCCTTCATTACTGCCCTCCTCACATCCCGGGGGTAACCTGGACTATTTCCTATCTCTGCAACTTTCCCCGAACATTCCAACCTTTGTGCCTTGGCTCCAGATCTGCTTCAACAGCAATGATTTTCTTTTCCATTTCCATCTCTCAAAATTCCACCCCTCTACATGAATGAATGCCTGATGAGGGCAGAGGCTTCTATCTATGTTGTTAACTGTTGAACTCGAACACCTAGAATAGTGCCTGACACACAAGAGACGCTAAAAAGTATCTGTTGAATCAAAAAATGAATCTGTCAACAGGGAATTCAAATGTCACTGCTTCAAGGAAGCAGTTTGATCACTACCAAGATAATTAGCTCCATCTTCTCAATAGCAGCACCTTCTTCCTTGTCCTTTATCCCATGGCTTGGCAATCTTTTTCTATAAAGTGGCCAGATAAATATGTTAGGCTTTGCAAGACATACAGACTCTGTTGCAACCACTAAACTCTGTTGTAGTGGAAAAGTAGCCACAGACAATGTCTAAACCAATGGGCATGGCTGGGTTCCAATAAAACTTTATTTACAAAAAACAGGCAGGTAGTGGGATGGATTTGGCCCATAGGCTGTAGTTTGCTGATGTCTGCTCTATTCATTTGTATGTGAAGCTTATGTCCTTGGCTAGACTGCCAGATTCTAAATTCCTTGAGATAGGGAGAGAATCTTATTAGAGTACAAATGTGTGTGTATGAATATTTATATATGTATATGTGCATTTATATAAGCATACACATATATAAAACACATTTATATATACTTATAAAACATTTATATATGCACATACATATATAAAATGCATTAATATATGATGTACATATATAAAATACATTTATATATGCATATACATATATAAAATACATTTATATATGCCTATACATATATAAAATATATTTGTATGTGTATATACATATACAAAATACATTTCTATATGTACATACATGTACAAAACACACATACACATATATACATATTATACATACACACACTGAGTGGTTGTGGACAAATTATTTAGATTTTCTGATCCTCAGCTTTCTCATCGCTAAAACCTCCTCAAAAGATATTGTACATGAAGTGCCTGGCATAGTGCCTAGCCTATAACACATGCTCAATAAGTTTCACTTTCCTCTCTTTATTTTCTTAAAACAGCACTGCCACCCCCTATGCAATGCACTCAGCAAACATGCATTGTGGACCTATGATGTCAAAGAACCATGCTTGGAACTCAGTGAAGTTCGGAGGTAAACGAGAAGAATGTGGCTGAAAAGAAGCCATTCTAGATCAGGAGCTAGAAACATATATTTTAGTCCCAACTCCACTCACTGCTTCCTCAGCAAGCTAACTTCCCCATTCTTGGAGACAACCACTCACACCTTCTTCATTTTCCTCTCACCTCTCATATGCCCTGCTCACTCCCTCACCCTATTAGCTGATGACCTTACCTCACACTCAATGGAAAATAGAAGTGCCCCCAGCATTCTGTCACCTTTCTGCACCAATTCTATAAAACCATCCTCAACTCTCTGTAGCTGTGCCCACTGCCTTTCCTCCTGCTCCCATGCTCACTCATTTCTACCCCTATCAAAGGCAAACCCCACCACTTACCCTCTGTGTCTCCTCTCTGCTCCCTTGCTAAGGACTTCAGTTCTTTACACATAATCTCTCACTTCCACATCATCCATCATCCACCAACTGTGTCGTTATAGTTCCCATTTAAAACAAATGACAGACGAAAACCTTTCCTCAACCCCACATTAACTCCACCTATGCTCCACATCTCTGCAACTTTTCGGGCAAATTTCTCTAATAATTTGCTCTTATTATTTTCAGATGGAAGTAAAGTACTTCCATTGCTTTTTGTTTTTCAGGAAGTAAAAGCAAGAAGATACAGAAATGTAAAGAGACAAACATTCATATACCCACCTTCATAATTCACAAATGACAATAGTTTGCCTTTGTAGCTGCCAAATTTTAAAACAAATAAAGCCCTACACACACAACTGCAGTTCCCTTCCACATTCACATTTTTAACCCATCCCAAGCTGGCTTCCACGCCTCTCCCAAGGACACCAGTGCCTTCCATGTTGCCAAATCCAATGGAGCTCTCTCTGCCTGCACTTTACCTCTCAGCCAGATTCCAGAGCTGACCACCGCCTCCTTCTTGGAGTGCTCTCTTCTCTTGCCACACAGCGTTTCATTCCTCCTGGCCTCCATCTTACTTCACTGGCCTCTCCTTCTCTGTGTTCTTGGCTGGCTCCTCCTCTTCTTTGGAACCCTTGGGCTCTGGGAGCTTATGTCTTCTCTATCTATACGTTCTCCTTGAGTGAGCTCACCATGGCTTAAGTACCATAGAAATGCTAATGATTCCCAAGTTTATATTTCTTGCACAGACCCCGAGCTCTAAATATTATTTGGCTTTCTAATTGGGGTCTCTAATTTAATATGCCTTTAGGGAAGCTCTTTATACCCCACCCACACCAGTTCCTCTCCCACTCTTTCTCATCTCCATAAATAGCATCTTCTTGCTTAAGAAAACCACCTTGGGGTCATCCTTGATTTCCTTTTTTCACATTCTTTCTGCCCCAATTTAATCTCTTATCAAGCTCTATTTGTTAAACTTCACAAATCTATCTCCACTGTGTTTGATTTCATTTTTTAGACTCGGGGTCTCGCTCTGTCACCCAGGCTAGAATGCAGTGATGTGGTCACGGCTCACTGCATCCTCGAACTCCCGAACTCAAGCAATGCTCCTGCCTCAGCCTCCCAAGTAGCTGGGATTACAGGCATGAGCCACCGCTCCTAGCTCCTATCTCCACTTTAACTTCATTAACTTTTTTGAAATAACTTCTTTCTCTTGCATCATCAGTCTCCCTCTCTATTAGACCACCTCCATTGCTCAGCAGACATGCTCTCATGTCTCCCCTCTTAAAAGCAAACCAAAGACCATCTCTTGACTGGATGATTGCAATAGTCCCTAACTGGTCCTCTACTTATACTCTAGACCCTCTAAAATCTATGTTCTACACAGTGGAACCACCAAATAGATAGAAATCTAATTGTGCCCCTTCCATGCATGAAACCTATCCTGTTGCTTCCCATATTTCTATGAAAAATAACAAAACAAAACAAAAACAAGCTTCTGTCAACCTCCCTCACCCAACTAAGGCCCCTCAGTCTTCTGGCTTGTGACGTTGCAACCACATGATCTTCTTGCTGCTGATTACACCCAACAAGCTGTTTCCCACCCCTGGGCCTTTGAGTTTGCATGAAATGCTCTTCATCAGCTCAGCTCTTTACATGACTGCCTTATTCTATCCTTCAGGGCTCAACTTAATCATACCTAAAATAATATCTCCTCCATAAATGCTCAATTATTCTATTTTATATCACACTGCTTTTTTTGTAGACATAATTGCATAATTGCAACCAATTTTCTTTGTTTATTAATTTCCCTTGTTTTTTTCTTTCTAGTTTACTGTCTGTTTCCCCCTGAGGAATGTAAGCTCCATGAGGGCAAGACCTTTTCTTGTTCACTCTATATCCCTAAAATGTAGTACAATGCCTAGCACATAGTGGAAGCTCCTTAAATATTGCTGAATGAACAAATGACACATTTCCATCTTCATCCCTCTACTTTCTTTTCCATATATTTATAATGCCTCTCCTCTCTTTGACCATCTGGCAAAGTCACATTTACCATCTGAATCCAGCCTACACAGCAAATCCCGTGAGTTGCTATACCCCAGAAATTGGTCACTCACGGCTCTACGTTCCCACCTCTATCACAACACTAGTGATAATAACAATCACTGATTTTTTAAAGCACTTACTCTGCCAGATACAGTGTCAAGTGTTTTAAAACTATCATCTATCTCACCATATACAACCACACTAGGAGATAGAAACTATGTCCTCCATTTTAAAGATGGTGAAACTAAGCCCTAGAGAATGTAAGTAATTTGCCCAATGTCAGAAAATAAGATGAAACTGGGAATTCAAACTCAGTGTATCTAATTCCAAAGGTCACACTCTTTAGCACTGAGCTATATCTTATACCTTAATACATTATAATTTCTTATATGTCTGTCTCACCCAACTTTCTTGAGAGCAGAGAGTTTTATACAGCTCTCTTCATCCCCAGGATCTAGCATCCTACTAGGCACAGAATTGTTGTTTAAGAAATATTTGTGGAAAAAAAGATCTGTCACCCACCAGTTTGTCTGAACACTTTATAAACCTATTAATAAATATTTATAGCCAGAAAGGAAGAGAACAAAGAAAAGAAATCTGGGTGGAAGGCTCTAGGAAGTAGGTACACAAAATAGTTAAGCAGGCTAAGTTTGTGGAGTTTCACACTTAATGTTTTTCACACCAAAGACAATACCAAGGTCACTGCCAAAGAAGACAGACATTATGTAATTAGGGAACACAGTACCAGCAATTACTCCAGAAGCTATTTTAAACTGAAACATGCCGGTGTTTGCTCATGTCCCTGCTCACACAAACAAAAGGCCTACATCTTGGAAACTGTTTTGCTTTGTTTGTTTGTAACAGCTCAAGTTGTTCTTCATTTGGCAGCTACTGGCACAATCTCACTGGAAGCATTGCCTGGACCCCAGCTTTTGCTGTGGACTGTTAAAAGCAAATGAGGAGGTGAATGAGATTCCCGGTTTAGGTTTGGGGGCATGGCATTCAGACAGGCATCATGAGAGGAAGGAGCCCACAGGCTCCTGCCTACTGGGGCATGACCCATTTCCGTGGATGGTGCAAATGGAGCCTCTCTGGGGACTGTCTGGGAACACCTGCAGAGCCAGGATAGACCAGGGCTGTGCCTCTCACTTCTGTGCCAGGCTTATTATATTTTCTGATTTGCTCCTGACACAAATTGTTATTCCCATGTTGTATAGGAGAAAACTGAAGCTCAAAGGCATACATAATTTGTCAAAATGATACAACCAGTGGCTGAGCACAAATTTAGGCACTGGTTCGTCTGAATACAAAATATCCACTTTTTTTTTTTCAATCACATGATCCATTGAGCTCTCACTTCACTTCTGCCGTGTTAGCATCCTTGCTATCCCTCAATCCCCCAGCAGCCTCTGCCCTAGACCTTCACACTTGCTGCTGCCTCTTGCCTGACAAGCCCTTCCCCTAGATTCTGCACATCCCACTTCATTCCTAACTTCAAGTCCTACTCAGATGTCATTTCCTTAATGAGGTCCCTCCCAACCTCATTAACAGTACTTATATAATAAGCCTGGCACAGAGCCTCCACCTCTCATTCATATCTTTTTTCTTTCTTGGTTTTCTGCCATCAATCTTATTATTAGTTAATAATCAATATGTTTGATGGAGGAAACCCAAGAAAGAAAAAGATAGGAGAGATAGAGCTGCATTTGCTTTTTTGTTAAGATTTAGTGATTTAATTGACAAATAAAAATTGCGTATATTTATGCTACACAACATGATGTTTTGAAATATGTATACATTGTGGAACTGCCAAATGAAATTATTTAACATTGGCATAACCTCACATACTTATCATTTTATTTATGGTGAGAACACTTAAGATCTACTCCCTTGGCGATTTTCAAGTGTATGTTGTTATTAACTACAGCTACCATATTGTGCAGTAGAACTCTTGAATTTATTACTCCTGTTTTGCTGAAATTTTGTGTTCTTTGACCAATATCTCTCCAACACTCTCTTCCCAGCCCCTGTCCTGCAACCCCTGGTGACCACCATTTCACTCTCTGCTTCTAAAAGTTCCACTTTTTTTAGGTTCCACATGTAAGTGAGATCATGTGTGTTTGTCTTTCTGTGCCTGGCTTATTTCACTTACCATAATGTCTCAGGTTCAACCAAGTTGTCACAAATGACAGAATTTCCTTCTTTTTTAATGCTGAATAGTTTTCCGTTCTATATGTTTTCTTTATTCATTCATCCCTTCATAGACACCTATGTTAATTCCATCTTTTGGCTATTGTGAATACTGCTATGATAAACATAGAAGTGCAGACATCTTTTTAAAATACTGATTTCAATTCTTTTGGCTACAAACCCAGTAGCAGGATTGCTGGGTCATATGGTAGTTCAATTTGTAATCTTTTAAGGAACCTTCATACTTTTTTCCATAATGACTGTACTAATTTGCATTCCCACCAACAGTATACAAGGGTTCCCTTTTTTCCATGCCCAACACTTATGTTTCATCTTTTTGATAATAGTCCGTTTAACAGGTGTGAGTTGATATCTCATTTTGGTTTTAATTTGGATTTCTCTGATGTTTAGTCATGTTACTTTTGCTTTTGATATTGTTTTTGTTTATTGTCTTTCTTCCTAAACTAGAATGTAAGCTTCATGAAATCAGTGACTTTGCCTTTTGTTCACTGATATGTATCTAGAGCCTAAAACAGTGTCAGGCACATAGCTAATATTCAACAAAGATATACTAAGTAAAGGAATAATTTCAACATCCAAATATTTTGGACAGAAGCAGACCCAGTATATTAATATGAAGTTAGTGCCTCTGGGGGGATGTTTTTGAGAATACAAAAGTCATGTCAAAGTGCTGGCAATACCAAAGAGTATAGACAAAGGGTAGGCTGGGGCCAGACTGTCTAGGTTCAAATGCTAGCCTCTCCCCTTATTAGCCCTGTCACCTTGGGCAAGGAACCTCACCTGTCTATGCCTCTGTTTCCTCATTTATCAAATAGGTTTGATAATAGTATTTTTCTTATAGTGTTGTTCTAAGGATTAATGAGTAATTATGTACAAGGTATTTAAAACAATGCTCAGCACATCATGAGTGACATATAATTATTTGCTTTTATTACCATTGTCTAGTTACTCTCAGTTATTTTGAAGCATATTGCTGTAAAATTTTCCCGTGGAAGAACGGAAACGAAGGTATATCTCTCTTTAGGCACCTAGAAAACCACTCAACCATGCTGCAATTATTCTGTCAAAGAAAGAAAGAAAAAAGAAAAGAAAAGAAAAGAAAAGAAAGGCAAAGCAAAAAACAGCTAAAGCCAAACCAAAAAAATGCCTTGTTAGTCCTGGGTTAAAAATCAAGCCCTGTAGCAATATGTGCAGACACTTAGACACTGATTATAAAAGGCAATTTAGACTTCCCCTGAAATATTAAAAGGGTAAAAAATTATAGTGCAGTGATGCTGGAATAATTTGATTTATTTAGGAAGAGAGGGGAGCTTTATTAGCTTATTACCATCATGGCTGTCCTCTTCACTTCTCCAGAACCAAGAATACAGTTGGTGTTGAAACCTCAGAGCAACACATAATATTTGAAGCAAGGTATTTATTTGTATCAGCTGATTCTTCAGAACCAAGAATATGGTCGCTGTTCAAACCTCAGAGCAACAAATATTTGAAGCAAGGTATTTATTTCTATCAGCTGAATCCTGAAAGTCATCTCAATAGTCCTCTTCTTCCAGAAGGTGAAAAGAACTGGATAGTCAACCAGATTGCTGCTGGGAGGTGTCTGCCCCTGGGCTACCATGCCTGATGGATGTCTAAAAGGGGTTTCCAGTTACCATTCATTGCTCCTTTGTTCTTTCCTTCAACAAATATTCATGGATCATCTTTCTTGTGCCAAGCCTTGAGCCAAGTACCAAGGATACAGACATGATAAGGACATGGCCCTTGCCCTCCTGGCATTTACAGCCTAACAGGTCTTCATGCTAACTAAAATGATGGGCTGGGTTTTTCTATAATAGATTTCCTACCAGAAAGTACAATTTTCTCTCTTTTCCTCCACTCCTACCTTCCTTCTAATCAACCATTTACCCATTGAAGATTCCCTGAGCAAGACAAGCCAAGGCCTGTAGCGAAATGCTAGGACTTAGAGTTGAATACGTAAGTCATTTCACGTGTATAGACTCTTTCTTCCTCCAAAAAGGATGTAAGATAGGATTAATTCATATAAATAAATAAATGCATTAAAGTGGGACTGCTTAAACAGACTGGAGTGGGGGCACATAGAAGAGACTGTGTTTTAAGTGAAGGTGAGAGGTGAAACTTCAGAAAAAACACTGCAGACATGATATTGGGACCAATGAGGAAGATTTTTCACTAGATATAATAGGAGGTTAGGCTTTTGCCAGAGGACAATTAAGTAAGTACATACTAATGTACACATTAACATGTAAGAGTCTCGAAAGGAGATGAGACACAGGAAATGATAGCAAAGAAGGAAAAGAAGATTATACAGAAGATATGATGAAGACATAAGACCGGAGACTTTCTTGAATCTCGAAATTCACTAGTATAGGAATGTGTATTTACACCCCCATAAGTCAGCTGCCATTTCAAATTTTTCTAAAGCTTGATCTCTCACTTGATAGTCATTTAATCAGTAGTGGCAGCTACTGCTTATACAATGACACGTTGAGAACAATAAAACCATATTACTCTGATCTTGTCATCTGATTGCTCAGAAACTTCTAACGCCTGCCAATTTCCTACAGAATGAAGTTCATCATAATTTTCCAAGTCCCTCATGGAGTCCTTCTTTCCACTCCTGCTGCTCCTTTCATGCAGCTAGCTTATAAAGCACCATCTTGAACTGGTTGGGCTCCTTGAACGCCAACTTCTATTTCCTCACATCTGAGCCTTGTTCATTGAATAGTTTTTACCAGAATGCTTTCCCCATCACCTGGCTCTATTGAAATGCTACCCCCACTTCAAGTCCAGCTGCAAGTAAGCTAGTCATTTATTCATCCGTCTGCTCAAGAATGATTTATCAAGAACCCTACTAAGTGTCATGCTTTGGTAATAGCAAGATAAATGAGAAATAGGTTCTTGCTCAAAAAGTTCAGAGTGTTAGTCAAAGGTTGAGGATGTGGAGGAGGAAGGGAAACAAATACAAGTTTGATATATTATTATTTTGATTTTTCTAGCCAGTTAAAGTTAAGCTTTGTTTTCAAAATCTCTAGCACAGGGTCAGGCATACAGTAGGTGCCATTTACTTATTTGCTTGTTTCCTTCTTTCCTTTCTTTTTATTTATTTATTTATTTTTTTTGAGGCAGGGTCTTGCTCTGTTGCCCAGGCTGGAGTACAGTGGTGCAATCATACCTCATTGCAGCTTCAGACTCCTGAGCTCAAACAATCCTCCTTTCTCAGACTTGTTTAATTCTCTTATTGTTTATTTGTATCTCTATTAATGCACTTCGTAGTTTGCATTCATTATCCTTTTCTTTTTCTTCATTATTTCTGTTTTCTCTACCTGAGAGCAAAGGTGCTGACCTAACTGCTTCTGTTTACTGCCATGCACAGTGTCTTCCACACAGTAGGTATCATAAATGTTTGCTGAAAATAAGTGAATTGAAATGGGGAAGAGAGTAGGTGAAAGGTGGGGGAAAAGAAAAGCTGATAGGCCAAAGTTGTTTCATTAATTTCAGTCTGAGTGTTTTAGACCCTACTGTTTCCTCCAGGTTACTAAAGCAAATTTATCTGAGCAAATAAGCTTTCATATTTGCATTTCTTTGAACCCTAATTTGACATGCAAATAAGCCACTAACTAGAACTCAGCTTCAATCGGCAGTGTTTAAACAGAAATCCCCATAGCTATTCAGAAACCTGTGCATAAAAGGAAGTTAGCATTAGCCAGTGTAGGTAACAATGATAGCCACTACAGCTAAGGGGGCACATTCTCCACATTGTTTTCTGCAGTTTCCTATACACCTCTTCCAGGGTCTTCTCTGAAACATCGACTCTAAGAGCTGAAAGCAACTTAAAGGCCTTAAAGGCCACTTGGTTCAGCTTTCTCAGCCCCCCAGCTGGAATCCTCTCTCTAGTAGCACCCAGCCTCTGTTGTCACACCACCAGTGACACGTTGCTCATTACCTCTTAAGGGTGTTTTCACAGTCTGAAAGGCCTTTCTTATATTGAGCACAAGAAATTTGACTCCTTTATATCTTGATTCCCATGGGATCCAAACAGAACTAGATTGCTTTCTTTCATAAAACAGCACTTCAGATGTTTGAATATAGCAATCTGAATCCTTGTGCTAAACTTAATTGTCGTTGTCGTCATCATCATCATCATCATCATCATCACCTTTAGCCTTTACTGATTCTCAATGATCTCACATCATTCGATTACCTTATTGGTCTTGTTTTTCTTGTACTGGAATCTGCTGTGCTCACTCTGTCCTTGCTGGCTTTTGCACGCCACTCCCTTCTGAATAGTTTGTGATCTTATCACTCAAATCTCAACTCCAATGCCACCTCTTCAGAGATGCCTTCTCTGACCATGCTAGCTAAAATAGAAATAAATAAAATAAAATAGAAATGCCACCTCCCCCTACATATTTCAGATACTCTTTCCCACATTATTCCGTGTTTTAAAAACAGAGCTCACAACTGTCTGAAATGTCTGGTGCAATAAAGAATCTGATTCCTTTTTTTCATGTGTGACTTCTGGCAGCTTTTAAGCCTCACAGCTTGTCCCCCTGCTTCTGCCCCACATCTGGGAAAGCTGATAAGCAAGCTCTCGTGTGTCCTGCTTTGGCGTCAGTAGAGTCTCAAACCACATAAGCCCCCACCTGCACACAAGAACTCTCAACCCATCCCTAATGCCTAGCTACCATAAAAACTCTAAACTAGTCTCACATACCCTCCTTCTAATCCCATTTTCAGATTGGCTTGGGAAGCCTGCCTGCTCTTTCCAGAAAGGCCTATTATGTTAGTAACAAACCTTTTATATCCTGTTGGTGGTTATGTGGCATCATCAGTTTCAACATCTGAGCCAGCTCTGGGGTGGGAGTCAATGCTGTCTCTGAAGAGTGGCTACAACATCTGACTTATTTAATTGTTCATTCTCTTAGTATCGTCCTCCCCCACTAAAATGTAAGCCTTGATTTTCCACTATTTCTTCGGCGCATAGAAAAGAGCCTGCCTGTTGAATGAAGAAATGATTTTGAAGTTCTTACAATAGTCCCTGTGATAATGGCCCCCCAAAATGACCTCATTACTATTACTTCGAGTCTCAGCAAACTAGTGCCAGCCTCTGTTCTTAATGCTGCATTTGAATTAATTCCTTTACTCCTCATATCAACTCTATAAATACTTATCTTCATTTTACAGAAGAGGAAGCTGAGGCACAGGGAAGTAACCTGTCCAAAGTCACATGACAGGTGGGCAAGTTGAGATAAGCCTGCCGGTGCCCTGACCCAGACACCAGCTCCCAAGTTCTTTGCTGGACCACCTCTCGCCACTGCCACCACTGTGCTGCTGCTGCTATGTGGAGTCACCACCATGTGCCAGGGCCTATAATTCCCTCATCCGATTCTCTCAAATCCTTCCAGGTGAGTATCTTGACCCCTATTTGCGGGTGACAAAACTCAGAGGGATGAAAGAGTCCCCTGGACATGGTAGGTGGCCACAGACCCCCCTGTAACTCCACATCAAAGCCCCTAGATGCAGTGGGTGGGGTACAGGGTGCCCCTAGAGGGCTTTGAGGGCATGAAATTGGAATCACAAAAGAATAGATTCCTGTGCTGAGAAATAAGTTATCTACGAGGCTTGTATGATAACTAATAGTAAGGATTTGGGAAAATTGCCTGAATCCTATCTCCTACTGCACATTAATACAAAATAAGGAGCCTTATAATTAACACTTAGCTGTTCAAAGGAATATAATCCCCCGGCACTTCTATTGATCTAAGGGAATTGCTTTTTTAAAAAAGTAATTTTTATTGTAAAAGTAATATATGCTCATTATAGAAAACTGAGAAAATAGAGAAAACTCTGAAATGACTATGAATAACTCATATACCTATCATCCAGTTTTAACTTACAACAGAGAAGTTTTCTTTAAACGATGTAATAGTTGGAAAGGTCAATTCTTAAAAACATGACATGGCTTTAGGTTATGTTCTGATTCTAACTAGCTGCATGACTTTAACAAGTTATTTTACCTCTGGAATCTCAGTTTCTTTGCAGGCAATAACATCTGGATTAAGCCACCTGTCAACAGGATTTATGAAAGTTCAACATCAAAAATATATTGTAGCACTTAGCATGGTGACTGGAGCATAACTGCTTCCCAAGAAGGGTTAATTTTCTTTTTTATTTCCTTTCTTTGTAACTTTGAATCCCAGGTTTATTTTTAAAGAAAAAAGACAAAGGATATTTACTGTCTCATTCTAAACATGTTTACCAATAAGCTACCAGTTTCTATTCTGATATGGTTTCTGCACTGGTAGAGAAGAAATTAAATTCCTTGACCTGAGGGTTAAGACGTTTCTTTTCTAAGTTCATATGACTACTTTATTCTACAAAGATTAAGGGTCAATTTTTTTGTTTGTTTGTTTTGCATATATTGTTCTTTAGTTTTATTACAATATTAGAAAAAAATCAGTGTAAATTATACCAAAATCAGTTTTTAGGGTTAACTCTCAAATAAGAAAGAATAAGAATCTTATTTGAAAAAAATGTCTATTAGACATTGTTATACTGCTATCAATTGGAAGCAGACAGCATGTTGCCTTGATAAACTTAGTTTTTCTTTTTTTGTATATATTCAGGAAACAAAATCAAAGTAATTATAGCTTCTCTTATTGAAGAGCTCACAATCAAAAGAGTAAATTACAATTTTGGCCAATTTTGGTGATAAATGCTATGATAGAAAGATGCTCAAAAAAGGATGTGCAAGCAGGCTGGAAAGTCAGGGAAAGCTTCCTAGAGCAGGTCCTTGAGCTAAGTTTTGGCATAGCCATCCAACAGGAAAAAAAAGAGAGGGAGCAGGACAGTCAAGCAGAAAAGACATTGGGAAGACGTGTGGCCATGAAAGGTAATGTCTTTTTCCAGGAACTAGAAGAAACCACATTTAGTAGCTATGTGTTGCACACTGTTCTAAGCAGGGAATTCACTATAGGGACACCCAGAGACCCAAGCATCGAAGGGAGTAACACAGATAGGTTTCAAGAATGAACTAGAACCAGAGAACCAAGACTACCCCCAACAATGTCTTTCCACCTCTCCAGACAAGCTTTCTCTGCTTCTCAGATCTGTATCACCTAGAGCACAGCTGCCATATCCTCTGGATTTTTCAGTTCTCGAAATGTCTAAGGAGGGGATTAACTGGCTCAGCATAAGTCAGTAGTGACTGGGGAACAAAGCCAATTTTAGGAAAAAGGACAGATGTGCCTGTGGCCATGCTGCTATGAGGGATGCACAAAGGAGCAATTCCACAAAAGAGGGAGGCAGATAATCCCACCAGTCTCGTATATGCAGGCAGTTGCTGATGAATCTTGGGAGTCTGGCAGGGGGCTGAACGACAAGTTTTTTTTTTGTTTGGGAAGCTAAACCATATTCATCTCATGCTGAAAGCTATAAGCAAGCTTTGAAAGATCTAGAGTAAGGAATGATACAAGAGTCAAATCTCTGTTTTAAAAAATCACTCTGGTAGAGGCTTTCAGGTAAACTTAATGGACCAAATATGGATGCATTTATCTTCATTCCCTCCCAAAACACCAGCCCAAAGTGACAGCCATAGTATTTATAAAGAAACAAACACATACAGAGAAAGTGAACAGGGGAGGAGAGAGTGGCTGATAGATAGAACATTATCAAATATTTGGAAGATGAATTAGAAATGGGCTAACAGGGCAGAAGCTGAACGCTGATTGCCTACAGAGGGGGTATCAAAGAGAAAAGAGCCCATTCGGCCGGGCGTGGTGGCTCATGCCTGTAATCCCAGCACTTTGGGTGGCTGAGGCGGGCGGATCACTTAAGGCCAGGAGTTCGAGACCATCCTGGCCAACATGGCGAAACCCCGTCTCTAGTAAAAATATAAAAAATAGCTGGGCATGATGGTGGGTGCCTATAATCCCAGCTACTTGGGAGGCTGAGGCAGGAGAATCGCTTGAACCCAGGTGGTGGAGGTTGCAGTGAGCTGAGATCGTGCCACTGCACTCCAGCCTGGGCGACAGAGCGAGACTCCATCTCAAAAAAAAAAGAGCCCATTAACCCCGGTGCATCTCAGAAAGAGCTGGTATTTGGAGGCACTAGATTCCAACAAAGGCAAGGATGAGGTCTCAGGCTGAAAAGAGGTCTGGCTAAGACTATATACAGAACAGTTAGACAGCCAGAGCCCCTCCCCTTCCCCATGCAGTCAGGTGACCAGTACTCTCTCACCCTTTAGGAGACCAAAGGTCTATTTGGTAGCTCCAGAAACCCTAAACTTGCAGACACAAGGCACAGTGAAGAGCAAGGGAAGAAGCCCTGCTAGAAATAGAAGAGTTAAGTGAAATTTGGGTCCTAAAATATAAGACCTCAACCCTAAACCTCTGTATTAGTTTGTTCTCACACTGCTAATAAAGACATACCTGAGACTGGGTAATTTATAAAGAAAGAGGGGTTTAATGGACTCACAGTTCCACAGGGCTGGGGAGGCCTCACAATCATGGTGGAGACAAAGGAGGAGCAAAGGAGATGTTTATGGGTTCAAGTTGATAAGGGGTGGACTTGTGATGGTTAACATTGAGAATCAACTTGATTGGATTGAAGGATGCAAAGTATTGTTCCTGGGTGTGTCTGTGAGCTGTTGCCAAAGGAGATTAACATTTGAGTCAGTAGACTGGGAGAGGCAGACCCACCCTCATTCTGGATGGACACTATCTAATCAGCTGCCAGTGAAGCTAGAATAAAGCAGGCAGAAGAATGTGAAAGGACTAGATTGGCTGAGTCTTCCGGCCTTCATCTTTCTCTGGTGCTGGAGGTTTCTTGCCCTTGAATATCAGACTCCAAGTTCTTCGGCTTTTGAACGCTTGGACTTACACCAGTGATTTGCCAGGGGCTTGTAGGCCTTTGGCCACAGACTAAAGGCTGCACTGTCAGATTCCCTATTTTGAGGTTTTGAGACTCAGACTGGCTTTCTTGCTCCTCAACTTTCAGATAGCCTATTGTGGGACTTCACCTTGTGATCATGTGAGCCAATTCTTCTTAATAAACTCCCTTTCATATATATATCTATTCTATTAGTCCTGTCCCTCTAGAGAACCCTGACGAATACACCCCCCTTCCCTGTCTGTTATCAGAATACCATAAACTAGACTCCTGCCTCTTCTCAAGCGACAGATTAAGGACTCTTCTACAGAGAAATAGATTGGTTCCAGAGAAAATACCAAAAGATACAAATATTTGGAAGGAGGGAGAAAAGGATATTACATACAGTAAAAAAGCTGACAAGAGTGAAGTCTATTTGTTGATAAGCTTCTCTCTGCTCCCATCCCAACCCCACTTGCATAGTTTCTAATCAGCTCATAATTGCCTTGCACTTGTATATGAACAAACAGCCAATGAGCAGCTGACATTGAGGAAGGTTTCCAGTAAGAAATTCTCAGTCTACAATAAGCAGAAAATACATCCAGCGAAAGCAAAGATATTGCAGGGAACATAGAAAAGGCATAATTTTAAAAGGACCATTATCACATGCATGGATGAAAAGATACCACATCCATAAAAAGGGAACAATTAGGCCAGGTGCGGTGGCTCACACCTGTAATCCCAGCACTTCGGGAGGCCAAGGCAGGTGGATTACTTGAGGCCTGGAGTTTGTGACCAGCCTGGCCAACATAGTGAAATCTCATCTCTACCAAAAATACAAAAAAAATTAGCCGGGTGTGATGGTGCATCCCTGTAGTCCCAGCAATCTGGGAGGCTGAGGCACGAGAATTGCTTGAACCCAGGAGGCAGAAGTTGCAGTGAGCCAAGATCATGCCACTGCACTCCAGCCTGGATGACAGAGCAAGACTCTGTCTCAAAAAAAAAGAAAAAGAAACAAAAAAGGAACAATTAGAGAAAAATGAGTTCTATAAATGAAAAGCATGATCACTTAAATTTTAAACAAATATATTTAAAAGGGTTTGAAGATAAAGTTTAGAAATCATCACAGGAAGAAACACCAAAGGCAAAGGAATGGCAAGAGGAGAGAAAAGATTTTAAATTAGAGAATCAACTCAGGAAACAAAGATCTGACTAAATGGAGCTTTCGGTGGGGGAAGGTGAAGGGAAAAGAAGAGAGAAAAGACATAGAGGCGAAAGTTTTCTGCAAAATTATGTAGAAAATTGCCTGGAACTACAGACATAAGTTTCTAAATTAAAAGTACCCCTTGAGAATCCAATACAGTGACTTAGGGGAAAAGGCTTACAATGAAGCATATTACTGTGAAATTTCAGAATAACAAGAATGAGAAGTTGAACATAAAAACTTAGAGAGAAAAAGATAAAACTTTCATGCACGTCCATGTGGAGAGACCACCAAACAGGCTTTGTGTGAGCACATAGATGTTTATTTCACCTGGGTGCAGGTGGGCTGAGTCCGAAAAGAGAGTCAGCAAAGTGTGGTGGATTATCATTAGTTCTTACAGGTTTTGGGATAGGCGATGAAGTTAAGAGCAATGTTTTGTGGGCAGGGTTGGATCTCACAAAGTACATTCTCAAGGGTGGGGAGAATTACAAAGAACCTCCTTAAGGGTGGGGGAAATTATAAAGAACCTTCTTAAGGGTGGCGGAGATTACAAAGTACATTGATCAGTTAGGGTGGGGCAGAAACAAATCACAATGGTGGAATGTCATCAGTTAAGGTTATTTTTACTTCTTTTGTGGATCTTCAGTTACTTCAGGCCATCTGGATGTATACGTGCAAGTCACAGGGGATGCCACGGCTTGGCTTGGGCTCAGAGGCCTGACAAAAACAAAATAAACAAACAAGCAAACCAAACAAAAATGAACCAACCAACCAGACCAAAACTGCTCACAAAGAATATGGAAAGAGAATGACACTAATCTTTGTAAAGCAATACTAAATGCTAGGAATCAATGAAACACTATTTAGAGAAAATGATTTACAACCCAAAGTCTGCATTCAGCCAAATGATTAATCAAGGATAAAGGTAGAATAAAGACATTTTCAAACATTCAAGGATCAAAAATTGTACCTCCTGCACACAAAATCATAGAGCAATAAGTTAGTATGTACTTCTGCAAAATGAGCACAGTAAACCAAGAAATAGGAATATGTAGAACCAAGGAAACAGAAAATCAGTATGGAAGAATGGTCATGGGAAATTCCCAAACAGCAATGCACCAAGCCTGGTAATCAATGAGTCCATACAGGAGCAGAATATGGGACTGCAGGAGTGAGATCATCAGAAACAAAAGGAGCTAAAGGAAAGTTTGGAACTGTGTGAGGTAATTGGAAGAATTACTAAGTACTCAAGAGATCTGTTGAAGTATTTGAAAAAAATATACTAGTAGACACAGAAAGTTAAGGAAATTGAAAAAAAGGATGCAAATATTAATTCTAGGAAAAATGAAAATCTGTAAGAGAAAGGAAATATAATTATGACATACAAACTGGGGCTCTAAGGTAAATCACAGTTGCAACACAGTCATAGTAAGGTAAAACTGACTATTGACATAACTTGAAATAAACGTATTGAAAAGATTGGAGAAGTGGGGATAGTGATAGAAGAAATTTACATCTGCAGTCACCAGGGCAAGATATAAATAGATAGTTTCAAAAGTGTTAAACCAAGATATAAGAATATAAGCATATTATTAACCACATTATTATTATATTATGGAACATAAAAATATACACCAGAAAGAAAAAAACAGTTAAGAGAGTAAAAATTTGTTGCATTAGAGGAACAAAAGCTGGGGGAACAAATGGGGAGAAGGGACTACTATATTTCATTAAAAGCTATTTTATATAGTTGATTGTTTTAAACCATGAAAATGCGAATATATTTAAACAATTTAAATAGCATTTCTTTTTTTTTTTTTTTTGAGACGGAGTTTTGCTCTGTCACCCAGGCTGGAGTGCAGTGGCACTATCTCAGCTCACTGCAACCTCCGCCTCCTGGGTTCAAGCAATTCTCCTGCCTCAGCCTCCCAGGTAGCTGGGACTATAGGCACCCGCCACCACACCCAGCTAATTTTTGTATTTTCAGTAGAGACGGGGTTTCACCATGTTGGCCAGGCTGGTCTCAAACCCCTGACCCTGTGATCCACCCACCTTGGCCTCCCACAGTGCTGGCATTACAGGCGTGAGCCACTGCGCCCGGCCTTAAATAGCATTTTTATAAGAAAGAAAGATAATCACTCTGCCCTTACCTAGTATGGTAGGGACTATTTATATCTAAAGAATTTGGAAAAGCCGTCTAGGAAATTTGTTCATTTTGCAAGATTTTGGAAAATCTACAAAATCAATGGCTGAAATATCTGAGAGGGCTGTATGGAAGCATGCTTTCGTATTGGACTTTCCAATGGAAAATTATGTCTTGAACTCTCCAGACTCTATCCAAGAAGGTCTATGGTTCATCTAATTTATTTCGATGTAATTTCTGCACCAAACTAAGCATCAGGATTCTGCCAGAATAAACTAGGGAAACTTCCAAAGCATTATAACTCTGAGAAAGGCCCAGGTAAGCAGAAACTGCAGCTGAAGTGATCCATTTATTGATCAGAAAGTATTTGCTGACTATCTACTATTGGATAGTGGTAAATAAGAAAGATATATTTTCTGTCCTCACAGAGCTTGACTTCTTCTGTGATAGAACTTGTGAATGTTCAGACATTTGCCTAACTAAAAATAATAACCCTGCAATTATGTAGTGCTTTTCAGATTACAAAAGTACTTTCTCAAACATAATTTCATGTTACTTATGAAAATTTTACAAGTGCGAATTATTATTATCTTTTTAGGGAAGTTAAGTAAATTATAATTGCTAATTATAATGACTATATTATGAGTATTTAATACACATGATACTCTCAAGGCATGGTCTTTATAAGCAGGATCCCATTTAATACTCACCTCAACCTTGTAAGATTAGTAGTATTAGTATCACAATTTTCTGGGTAAGAAATGAAGACACAAAAGAGTTCTCTCTCCTGTGTTCCAATCCAGTGCTCTTTCCATGAAACTAGAGAACTCTAATCTTAACATAAGCCTCCTTAGTCTCTGCAAAAGCCCACTTTATTTATGCTTCTACTGTATGCCACTATTATAATCCTTGAAATTGTCCAAGACGCACCTGTCTCAGACCGATTCCTTATCCAGATGGACTCTGAGCTCTCATACAGTTCCTCCTTGGTGATTGGACTGATTTTTGCTGGGAATAATGGTATCACACTAATTTACATTTTTTCAACTTTTTTCTTAACTCAGATTTGACCTGACCTTTTAATATTTTAAAAATCTTCATGCACCAGGTACTGTGCTAAGTATGCAACACACATTTTCCCATCCATTTGTTTCTTGAGAAAAAGGAGGCAACAGCAACTGAAGTTTAGATAAGCCAAATCACTTCCTCAAGATGACAGAGGCAGAAAGATTTTTCAGTCAGTTTCAAATCAAGGTCATTAGGTTAATACTCTTTCTACTGAAGCACTCTGCCTCCTACTACATGCATTGATATCCAGATACATACATAAAAGTGCATACATGGGTTTATAGATTTAAATTGAAATGTAACAAACATTAATTTGCACAGAGCACTGTGCTGGTTACTAAAGAATAGAGGAAGGACTATAAAGATTAATAACAAAATTATATTTTCATATCTAAGACCAGTTGTTTAAGATAGGGTCAGGGAGTTGATAGAGAAGGTCAGTTTTTGCATGTGTGAGAAAGAACCAGGCAGACTTTTGATAAATTCGTGCTGACATTTCAGGTTTAAATCTGGATGATCCCCAAATACAAACAGTGCCATTTCTATCAAGTAGTTTTCTTGTCCCAGAATTTTGCTGAGCAAAACGTCCCTCATACAACGAAAGATAATAAGATATGCAAAAAAGTAGAATTTGACTTATAGTTAAGAGAAAACTCAAGCAAAGAAAATTGGCTTACAGATGATAAAAAATGAGAATTCAATTGACTTAGAGATGACAAAAAAATGAGAATTCACAAATTAGAACTTTAACTATGATAAATATTTTTTAAATCCTCAGAAAAAGTTGGACACAATCAGCAAAGAAATGGGGAATTTCAGAAGAGATTTGAAACCTGTAACAAGGAAGCAAATATGAATTCTAAAATTGAAAATGGTAATATCTGAAAAAATTTAAAAATTATTGGATGGGATTAACAGTAGAATGGGCATAATAGAATAAAGCATTAGTGAACATGAGTAGAGGCCAATAGATATCTAAAACTCAGAGACAATAAAATTTGGAAAAAATAGTAAACAGAGCCTCAGTGACCTGTATGACAATATTGAGCAGTCACTCTTATGTGTAATTATAATTTCAGAATGAGAGGAGAGAGATAATGGGACAGAAAATTATTTTGATGAATTATTTTGATGACTTATTAGCTGAAGCATTTTCCAAATTTGATTTTTTAAAACGTGTATGCCAAGAAGTTCAGTGAATTCCAAGTAGAATAAAAACAAAGAAACCACTCCTAGGCACATCATAGCTAAATTCCTAAAAATCCAGGTAATGGAAAATATTAAAAGCAGCAGGACACACACACACACACACACACACACACACACACACACACGGACACACAACATAAGTGGGAAACATAGTAAGATAAACAGAAGACTTCTCAAGAGAATCATGGGAGAGCAGAAGGCAATGGAAGTACTTTAAGGTACTTAAAGATGAAAAGGCCTGTCAATCGAAAATTCTCTATTTCAGTAAAAATATTTTTCAAAAATAAAGGAAAGTAACTAAATATTCAGGTAAATTAAAATGGAGACAATTTGTTGCCAGCAGAATCACACTACAAGAAATGCTAAAGTTAAGTTATTCAGGCTAAGGGGAAACAATACCAGACAGAAGACATTAAAAATACTTTCTTAAAGGACTATTGACATCTTAAATCAAAAACAATTATAGCATATAGAAGGGTATATAACACATGTAGAAGTAAAATACATGACAATAGATCACAAAGAAAAAGGGATGGGGTTAATAGAATTATACAATTACTGAGTTATTACATTATTCACAAAGTAGCACAATATAAGTAACAATTTTATTTGAAGGTAGGATGTAAGTCAAGGTGCATACATAATTTATATAGCAAGCTCTAAAAATTAACACAAAAAGCATAGGCAAAGTCAACAGAGATAAAAATTAAATACTGAAAGAGTACCTGAGTAACCAAAAGGAAGTCCAACTTAAAAGGATAGAGGAACAAAGAAGAAACAGAACAATAAAAAACAAATACCAAGATGAAAGATTTAAATCCAACTCTATCTTAATTACATTAAATGTAAATAGACTAAATACCATGTAAAAAGCAAAGATTGTCTGACTGGATAGTGGGACAAGACTTAACTATATATCATTTACACATAATGCCCTTGAAATACAAAAACACAGAGAAGTTGAAATTGAAAGAATGAAAAGCTATACAATGCAAACACTAAACAAAATATGTTGTGACTATATTAATACCTGACACAATAGATTTCAAGACAAACAATATTACTAGAGGTAAAGCAAGCAACTTATAATAATAATTAAAGAAAAGGTCAATTCATCAGGAAGCTATAACAATCTGAAACATATATGTACTTAATAGCAAAACCAGACAAATCATGGAGTCCAAGATATTGCTCCCTTGCAAAACCCAACCACCAAAAATAGTATCATAAGCTTCATTTGTAATTGTAACTCTCACTCCTCCTTGTTGTTTTTTAGCTGAGAGAGAAAAATAATTCTATAGATCAATGTTTGTGTACCTCTAGCTTCATTTACCCATGTCTCTTTCTGGGAAACAGATAAGCATCTATTCATTCAATACACATTTATCAAGTGCTTACTAGATATATGAGTATACAAAGCCTCTATTTTGTGCTATGCTCTGTGATGGGTGGTAGGAAATCAGTGAGTAACTAACACAGCCCCTTATGATTAAAGCATCCATAGACTAGTTGAGAATCCAGAGTAAATACATGCTATTATACCCTGAGATGCATGTAATAATAGGAGGACACGTGCAAATACTTTGATGCAAATTTTTAGGAAAGCACACTATATTGGGTCCTATAAAGCCAAAGGTATTACTATTAAAATTTACTTTCAAAGAATCTCATTGCTATCTTTGATATGACAGCCTCTCTTGGTCTCAGCTTTGTTATGTACTAAAGAAAGAGCTTGGGAGCCTATGTTCCTTTTTCTCTACTCTTACTATGTGCAGTATGTAAATTGTGACATACCATTTCCCTCTAGGATCCAAGTTCCATATCATTGTGTTGGGCACATGAACCAATATGGATTGTATGGACAGAACGTATGCCATCTGCGTGTTTAAGGAAACAAATTTGTGGAAATCTAGCTTACAATGGAATCCAGTAGGATCTTGTATTCTTTACTACATGATCTAATATAATGGCATTAAATTAAATATGATATTTATGGAGAGCCATCCAGTTAATCTTCTCTGCTGGAAAAACAGTCCACACATGACTAGAGGGAGACAAAAATATTACTTGGGGAACCAAGCAATTATATTGTGAAGAGAGGGAAAGAAAAACAAATTTTATTTCTTCATTCAATCTCCTGATTTTTATCCAATGAATGACTTTCTTGGCAAACAGTGACACACAGAATGTTCATTAAGAGAGCCTGGCAGCTTGTCCTTGAATTCTTTTCAAATGTTTAGTGTGCTGCAATCCAATTAAATGATACAGGAAGGCATTAAAAAGCATGGAATAATACCACGGAGAGTACCCTGGTAACAGGAAACAACAAAGACAGGGACCTGGGGCCCAGGTTCAAGGCTAGGCTCCTCTTCTCTCTTGCTGAGCAGAGAATCTTTTGTTGGTGTTGGCCAATATTGTCAAATCAGTCACTCCAAACCCAGTCAGTGAGGTGATGAGAGACTTACTTTTGATTTAAGTACCAGGCAAATCAAGTACCAGTGTCAAGCCTCCGAGCCCAAGCTAAGCCATCACATCCCCTGTGACCTGCATGACTACATCCAGATGGCCTGAAGCAAGTGAAGAATCACAAAAGAAGTGAAAATGGCCGGTTCCTGCCTTAACTGATGACATTCCACCATTGTGATTTGTTCCTGCCCCACCTTAACTGAGCAATTAACCTTGTGAAATTCCTTCTCCTGGCTCAGAAGCTCCCTCACTGAACACCTTGTGACCCCTGCCCTGCCTGCAAGAGAAAAACCCACTTTGATTGTAATTTTCCACTACCCACCGAAATCCTATAAAACTGCCCCACCCCTATCTTCCTTGCTGACTCTCTTTTCTGACTCAGCCCACCTGCACCCAGGTGATTAAAAAGCTTTATTGCTCACACAAAGCCTGTTTGGTGGTCTCTTCACAGGGACACACATGACAACCAGGACTAGGCAAAACACATTCTTGGCCAAAAGAAGCTCTAGGTGAACAAGGAAGAGAAGTAATCAGAAACACAAGAGGGATGAAATATAAATATAAAAGTGTAGACCAGTAAGGGAGCTGAAGTGGCATGGTATGAACAAATTGAAGAAGAATGAAAGAAAATGAAAGTTAAATAAAGCAGAGAGGGAGGGAGGGCAACTGCAGGAAAGAGCAGGTGGAATGACTGATAGCCAATGGTGTGCTGGTAAAATTTAACAACCAGCTCTGTGAGAAAAACCAAAGTCCTTATTTGTAGCATTTGCTTATTTCTGTGGTATAAATAATCCCACCATGGCTGATTCCATGCTACCAACAAGGATGTCACTAAATATGGAGCTGGGAAGAGATATGCAATAGTAGCACACCATTATAAAGCATTTCTACTGGCTACCTATTTACAACAGATGTAAATAACTTCAAGTGCATAGGTAGTGAAGTAACCAGGAGGTGATGCATTTGGAGTATTAATTACCTTTGTTTTCAGTATAATTTATTTAAGTGTTGTTTCATATAATTTAATTTTTAACAATGGCTATTCAATAGGCTTCTAAAATTCCAGATAATTTAACAGTTGGGCTCTTAGAAACCATCTAGGTTTAAACTGAATTCAGTTTAAACTGAAATTGGTAAACTATCAGGTAACATTTCTCTTAGCAGTTAGGTTTGCTTCTCTGGGCTTAGGGACAGGGTTGGGGGAGGAGTGATAATGGTGTGGGCGTGGAGATTCTCAAAGTAAGTATTACTCTGCTGTCTTATTGTACAACACAACTTCTTTAATGAAGAGCCTGTAGGCTCTTCATTCATTCATTCATTCATTTATTCTTCCAGATTCTGACTCCAGTAAGTTGGATTACATGTCCTTTCTCTTTATTGCCTTATGTCATTGTATATATTGTGATCTGGCATTTTTCACACTATACTCTAATTTGGTTTATCTTTCCCATTTGGAAGCCATCTGAGGGCAGAGCCTGCAAGGAGCCTTATCTTTGCTTGCCATGTGACTGGTCCAAAGCAAAGCATTCGCAGATAATTTTTGAATGAATGAGTCATTACTGTAACTTGCTTCTATCCTGTTTGTGATATGCATCAATAAGAGATTTTCTATTTACTCCATCTTGTAGGATGTGGTAAGCATAGCAGAGTGAGAGCACAATGGGCTTTGGAGTCAAATAGCTCTTGCTGAAATGCAAGCTTCTTGACTCTGGGACTCAACTTCTGGGAGCCTCATTTAAAGGGCAGTCCACCTTGTAGAATTGTGAGAGAAAATTAAGACAGCACAGGTAAAAGTGCCTAGCAAGAAAATAACTACAGCTATAGTAGTTAACATTTATTAAATGCTTACTATGTACCATTCATTGCTGTAATCATTTTATATGTATTAACTCATTTAATAACCCCTAGTAACACTAGTAGGCAATATCTACCATTATCCCTATTTGACAGAAAGGAAACTGAGACTCTATGATGACTTATAACTTGCCAAAAATGTACACACAGTTCATGAGGGACACAGCTGAGGTTCTGAACCAGGTTCTCTCACTCCGGAGACAAAGTTCTCTTTTATCATATCAAAATGCTTCTTCCCAGAGGATAATACATTTTCCAAAGGCCTATAATATGATGATACATATCACCATACCACCTGCCTCCCAAACATCTTGTCAATGTGAAACTGCCATCCTCTGTCCAATCTGTACTGCAGTTCCATTTTCCTCACCATATTTCAGAAATCAGATTTCTTTCCTTATGTCAAAACCTCCACTTTCACTATGCTTCTCACCGAGACCCTGTGGATTCTTATACAGAACCTATGCTCCTACAACACCTGGCATAATATTTTAAGAATGAAAGCATTAAAGTTTAATGATTTTTTTTTTTACTTTTTAATGCTTTCCCAAAAAATTTAGATGACTTAAAACATTTACAGTAAAATAGTGATAAAACAAAGTGAGGTCACTGAAACCAGAAATATGTGACTAGAAACAGAAAACAAAAATAGAAAATTCATAACAGGTATATATATATATATATATATATATATGTATATATGTAGGCACACACAAATTGTAAGGGTTATGTGATTGTTGTGGTTGAGCTTCAAAAAAACTATCTACCTACCTACCATTCAGCTTCCTTGCAGCCAAAATTAAAAAAAAAAAAATGCATGTATGACTTTTTTTTTAAATATTCTAATTATCAGTTTTAAAAGGAGGAGAAAAGGAATCCCTATAGATCCTCTGGTGGTTGGAATTTTATATACGGAGCAGGGACAGGAGAAACGATCATTGTCTTCAAAAATAGCACTAGAATAAACACAGCTTCAGATATGATTCTAATCTCATGACCCCTGTGATAAATGTCAAAGGATTTGAGGAATATCAACATAAAATTAGGGGAACCAATTCTATTGTAAATACTGAAGACACTAGCCAGTCCACCTTTGCTTCAAAGTAGAAGCATGAAGAATACCTCAGTTCTGAATACCTCTACATTGTTACATTACTCCTGCTTGATATATTATTTTGAGATGGAAAAGAAGGTCTAATGCTCTCTCTGTCTTCATGGTCAAACCATTCATTCTGCAATAATGTCCAGATTTGGGTAATATAATCATCCAGGAGTGCTCTGAAATGAAATTATAGGACTGGACTGGATTGGAGTTTCAGTGCAGACTTCAGAAGAAGTGGCTCTGCACTGAAAATTACTTGCTGCCCTTTGCAATGGTGGCAGTTAAATAACTCAACAAGAGGTCCCTCGGAGAAAATCAATACACACCAAATTGCAAAAATGTGGATGCAATTTGTGGGGAAAGTGGATTTGATGTGAGTCTGTGTTGGCTGCCAGCATGAAGTCACTCTCAAGGTGGATTAAATCCTGTTGCAGCTCTTCCTTCCAAGTGCTGGGCTGGTCTCTTCCTTGTCCTGCAGATCCCATTGACTTTTCAGCTCAACCCTGCTCCAGGCTGTGGGATCAATTAGGCCCTGGAGGGAGCCCTGTTGTGGCTTCAGCCATACTTGACCATAGGCATCACACCCTCCCAGTTCATAAGGGAGAGCCCACGCTGTGAAGTAGTAGGGATTATTTTCCTTGTGTTTTGCCTTAGGTCTTGGCTCTAAGAACAGGAGTCCTGTCGTGTTCCTCGTTTAGAGTCTCTGGCTTGGTAATCTGCCCACCAGTCTCTACGAGAAGGCTCTGCTTGCCCTTGCTCTCCTACTAGTGCCATGTGCTGGTGGAATCAGCCTTTGAAAAGCGTAAATGAGATAACATGTCTCTCTTCTGAAACTTCGCAAAGGCCTCTCATTGTATTTAGAGGATACCTTGGACTCTGTAAGGCCTTGTGTGACCTGGATCCTCACTGTGCTGCAAAATCATGTTACAAAAACTCTTTTCATTCAGGCTTTACAGAGTCTTCTTAATTTCTGTAATAATCCCAGATGCTGCCACAGGTATTTGCATCAACTGTGTTCTCTGCCTGAAATGCTCATCCCCAAGCCTCTTGCATAGCTAGCTCCTTTATATCCTCAGGCTTCATCTTAAGGGCATCTCCTAAGCCAAGACTTTCCTGACCACCTTTTCTAAAGTAGCACTCCTCCCTCATAATTTCTGCCACTGCATTAATTTCCTAACCTCTTGAGGTTAAATACAATTATTGAGCTACAATAATTGTATTTAATTGTGGCCGCATTTATTGTCTATCTTTCCTACAACAATATAAATAACATGAGGGCAGGGAACATATCTACTTTTTCACAGCTGTATTCCCAGTGCCTAGCATTGTATCTAGGACATAACAAGTGAAAAATATATTTTTGTAGAATGAATGAATGAATCATGAACTAATGAATGATTTAGTACCCCGCAGCTACCTACCTTGTTGCCTGAAGTTACCATTTGTAGAATCTATTGTCTTAATAGGATTCTACTGTTACATTTTGTTGGACATTCTTTTTTTTTTTTTTTTTGGAGACTGTGTCTTGCTCTGTCGCCAGACTGGACTGCTGTGGCGTGATCTTAGTTCACTGAAACTCCCTGGTTCAAGCAATTCTCCTGCCTCAGCCTCCTGAGTAGCTGGGATTACAGGCACGCGCCACCACGCCTGGCTAATTTTTGTATTTTAGTAGAGACAGAGTTTCACTATGTTGGCCAGGATGGTCTCGATCTCCTGACCTCGTGATCCACCCGCCTCAGCCTCCCAAAGTGCTGGGATTACAGGCATGAGCCACTGTGCCCAGCTTGTTGGACATTCTTGATAACACTCAGCCATAGTGCTACCCATTGTCTACATCAATGTTTTTTCAAGCTTTTCAGGGTGCAGTGGAGCCCTTTTATTAATTTAAAATGCAATCTTATGATGAAATCCAAAAGATAAAACTGATGAAAATGGGTATGCTCTGCTTGACTTGGGAATGAAAGGACTCAAGCTTCCCTTTGCTCCCCTTAGATACTTCTGAAAAACTTGAAGTCCTGGAGGCATGGCTTGGAAACCTGTAGCAGCAGTTGCTTTATCCACTCTGTGGTTTGCCTTCCCGGCTAGATTTCTGTTTGCAAACAGCTAGGCCTGTCCTCCTTTGATCAGCAAACATTAGCTCCACAGTAGATTGTGGTCTGACTTCAACTTCTCCTGCGATGTTCCAGCACTGCCATTAATTGATCCATGTCCCACTAAATCACAAAATATATCACACAGACCCTGGCTTGGAACAGTTGGTCTCTGAACTTGATGTCAAGCCAGTGACAAATCCCTCAACTGATCCATGAAAAACTTTGTGAGTCAGCTAGTGCCAAAAAAGCAGGACAGATTTCTGTAAAAGGATTTTGACAGATGGGATCATTCGAATCAGTGTTATTGTCTTAAAATGTGTCTGATGCACCCACAGTGATGCTTCTGAGGACCTTGACAAAATCTGAAGTTGAAATTGTACTGAAAAAGCATATGCTCAGCAGATTCTTAATGTCAGCAAAGTCTCTCTTAATTATTGCTCTGGTTCCCAACAAAAAGAGGCCCACTTAGTCAACCTGCCTGAGGCAGTATCTCAATAAACCAATAAACCTAATACACGTCCTAGAGGTCTTGGAGTGCTGACATCCAGAAAAAAAAAATTGAGTGAATTTGAAGTCCTTCCTACTTACTCTTAAAACCTGGTGGTAACCGGTCCATGAGACAAGGAAAAAAAAAAAAAAAAAAGATTGAGCCCTGTCTTCCTCTCCAAACTCCTTTCCTGCACTGCTTACCTCTCCCTTTCTGCTGCCGCAGCCCCACTCCCACCCCCGCCAGCCTATTACATTGTTCTATCCCTCCATGCTTCTGTTCCCATGGTTCCCATAGTTTGGAATGTAGAGACCCAGATCATGTCCCAAAGCATGGGGAATTGTGCCATGTCAGGCCTGGCACCAGATGCTGGGGATGCAGAGGTGAACAACAGAGAGCCCTGCCCTTGGCAAGTGGGTAGTGTGGTCTGGAGTTCTAAGTATCAAATTCCTATCAGATTTTAAAGACCTAGTATGAAAAAAATGAGAATATAAAAAAGCTAAGCAATAATTTTTTAATTCTATGTTGAAATGATGTCAGATAGACTGTGTTAGATAAAATACGTCATTCAAATTAACTTTACTTGTTTCTTTTTACTTTTTAAATGTGGCTACTAGAGATTGTATAATTATACATGTGAGTCACATTATATTTTTACTGGACAGAGCTGCTCTAGTAGACTGGTTCCCAAACCTGCCTGGTCATGTGAACCACCTTGGGAGCTTTTCCAAAAGAGAGATTCCAGGTCTCCATTCTCTGGAAATTCTGAATTATTAGGTTCTTATGAGGCTTCAGAGTCTATTTTTGCGATGCTCTTCAGGTTATCCAACGGCTATGATCACCCCAGGTTGAGAAACAGTCCACATATTACCTTGGGCTTTTCTCTATTGCAGTGATACCAACACTCACTGTATATCAAAATCGCCTGGATAGTTTTGTTTTGTTTTGTTTTAAGTTAGCTTTCCATCTTCAAGATTTGGATTCAATTTTAGGGAAAGAGCCCAGACTTTTTTTTCAAAAAAGCTCCTAGGTGATTCTTAAGTGCAGCCTGGGATAGAAAACCTTGCTTTACCCCAGTGCTTATCATATGCATTTTGATTTCCATGAAGAGGTACTTCTCTTCTTCATTAGACTGTAAGTTCTTTGAAGGCATCTGCTTTGTCACCAAATCTCTTCTTCCTAACAATAGTGGTGTCTCAGTCTGTTTTGTGTTGCTATAAAGGAGCATCTGAGGCTGAGTAATTTATAAAGAGAAGAGTTTATTTGGCTCACAATTCTGCTGGCTGGAAGACCGGGCATGTGCTGATGGCCTCTGGCTGCTTCCATTCGTGGTGGAGGGTGAACAGAAGCTGGAGTGTGCAGAGATCACGTGGTGGGAGAGAAGGCTAGGGGGGCATGCAAGGCTTTTTTTAACAACCAGCTCTCATTGGAACTAAGAGTGAGAACTCACTCACCTTAAGGGAGGGCATTAATCTATCCATGAGACATCCACCCCAGTGACCTAAACACCTCCCGCTGGCCCCACCTGCAACACTGGGATCAAATTTCAACATGAGGTTTGGAGGGTTCAAATGGTCCAACCATAGCAAGTGACCTAAGGCTTATGGCTGAAAGAAGAGATCACACTTCACTCCTCATAGTTTGACATTTTTTTAATGTTTTCCTGGCTTAGACTGGCTCCTGTTTCTACCTCTGGCTTTTACTGTGTTTATTCTTTGGCCCATGTACTTTTCCTGAGCAGCTAGCATTCTTAGCTTCCTGCCAGAGGGCACAGAAGAACTACTGGACACAGTTGAGGAGACTCAAGTTCCTCATCACATCCTGTAAGGCCTTCTACTTCTGGGATTGGGCCCTACCTCCCTCCCTGGCTCCATTTCCTGCAAAACAAAAAACTCCCTGGAATTTTGACCAGCAGCAGGAAGAGTGCTCTCTCGGTTTATCATGATTGCTATCCACACCAACCCCTTTTACTCTGAAGGTTGAAGAAATGCAAGCTTTAGACAAGAAAGAGCTGGAGATGGACGCTTGGAGCTGCATTTATCTTCAGCTACCTTCTCTACCTTGAGCCCAAGTCCTATTACTCAGCACATGAGAACAGAGAGCAGGGTCCTCTGCCCTCCAGCCAGTTGTCAGAAGATCTATGTTTCAGGCCCATTGCTGCCATGGATGGCGTTAGGAGTTGAACTTCCCCTGTCTGTCCTCACTTTACTCATCTATAATATGAGGAGGGCAGAGCAGCAAACAAAAGTTCTATATTCATTACCATTAAGACAATGAGATTCTTTTGAGCCCACTCACCCCCCCTACAACTCTCCAACCCTCCAGTCACAAAGACCTAAGGAGCATCTGCCATGTGCAGGCAATGAGTTGCATGCTTGGGATACAGCAGGGAACAAGGGGCAAAATGCTAAGAACTTGCTTCAAAATTGCAGCCTTAGCATTTCAATTGTGATGCCTTCCTTCCTTTGAGAACCTTGCACACCTCCCTTCTCTTACGTTGCTCCCTCAGCTCTCAGATGAGCTGTTCTCAAATATTCAGGGGATGCTTCAGTTTTCTTAGGAAGCACTGGGAAGAATCAATATCAGCTCAGCCAGTACAGACCAAGTATGTCTAATTAATGACCAGAATGCTGATTGTCTTCAAAAAATATTGTAGAATGAACATTTCATCACCCCATTGTTGCCTTGGGTGATTACATGAATTGGGAAAACAAACAAATGAATAAAAATTACTGCTTTAAAATAACACAATCTAAAATAGGAGGGGAGTATGTTTTTCTGGATTTGAAGTACGGGATTCAATTGTAATACTGAAAGAATAAACTTGCTGATTCAAGCACTTATTTTATAAAGACTATTTCCTGCTACCATTCAAAGCTGTGGCAAAAATAATAATATATGATTTCAAATTACTTTGAGTCACTGCATGTGTAACTGACAAGGAAGTGAGAAAGTGGGTATCTTTTGTTATCTAAAAAATTACCTTTCTTCTATAAATTCTCTGAGAATCCAGAGGACAGAATGCTGAGCTGAATAATTCTGATTGGGACAGAAACCTTTGAGCTACTTTGTAAAATTACTTGCTTTATTTTTTTCTGCCAAAGGGGGAAATCTACTTCTGAATGAATGAGTGGGTAATTGAAAATATGATAGGATTACAGAAGACAATAAAAATAAATGTAATTTAAAAAGGCCAAAGATCATCTCCAACTTGTACATAAATAATGAAGCTACGTCAGGTGAGTAATGAGAGGAAAGTCTTTCTTCTTTACAGCAAACTTGGGCACATTGACAAGGTAGTCCAGAGCTTATAGTGATGGGGAAAAGTACTGCTGACATAAACCCAAACAGATGAGGGCCAGGCCTAATTAGTTTTCCAGCATGAAGATGAATTAGTGAGGCTGTCCCTTAATAAACAGATGCCACATTTTGGTGGCCGTGCAAAACCAGGAGGCCCAAAGTGTTGACAAGAATAAGTGGAATGTACATGTTCTAGAGAGGGATTAGCACACTTATTGAATATCTACTATGGGCCAAGCTCTGGCCCACGATTTTTTAAAATTGTGGTATTACTTCCATCTACTCTTCTAAACGCAGATTTAATTTTTGCCATTTTATGAACAACAGGTATATGAAAAAATGTTCAACATAACTAATCATTAGGGAAATGCAAATCAAAACCACAACATGATATCATCTTACCCCAGTTAGAATGGTTATTATCAAAGAGACAAAAAAATAACAAATGCCGGCAAGGATGTGGAGAAAAGGAAACTCTTATACACTGTTGGTGGGAATGTAAATTAGTACAACCACTATGGAAAACAGTACGGAGATCTCTCAAAAAACTAAAAATAGAACTACCATACGATCCAGCAATCCCATGACTCGTATTTATCCAAAGGAAAGCAAATAGGTATATCAAAGGGATACCTTCACTCCTGTGGTTATTGCAGCCCTATTTACAATAGCAAATATGTGAAATCAACCTAGGTGTCCATCAATGGATGAATGGATAAAGAAAATGTAGTATATTTACAAAGTGGAATACTACTTGGCCATAAAAAAAGAATAAAATCCTGTCATTTGCATATCCTGTCATTTGCAGCAACATGAGTGGAACTGAAGCTCATTATGTTAAAGTTAAATAAGCCTAGCACAGAAAGACAAATATCACAAGTTCTCATTTATATACAGAAGATCATAAGCTGATCTCATGGAGGTAGAAAGTAGCGTGATAGTTACCAGAGGCCAGGAGGAGAATGTGTGTAGTGGGTAGGGGGAATGAAGAGAGGTGGGTTGATGGGTCCAAACATACAGTTAGACAGAAGGAAAAAGTCCTAATGTTTAATAACACAGTAGACTGAATATACTTAACAACAATGTACTGTATATTTCAAAAATAGCTAGAAGAGAGGATTCAGAATGTTCCAACACAAAGAAATGATAAATGCTCGAGGCGATGGAGATCCGAAACACTCTGACTTGATCATGACACGTTCTATGCATATATCAAAATATGACATGTGCCCCATAGATATGTACAAACATTATGTATCAAAAAAAACTTTTCTTTCTTTTTTTTTTTTTTTGAGAGGGAGTCTTGCTCTGTCACCCAGGCTGGAGTGCAGTGGCACAATCTCGGCTCACTGCAAGCTCTGCCTCCCAGGTTCACGCCATTCTCCTGCCTCAGCCTCCCGAGTAGCTGGGACTACAGGCGCCTGCCACCACGCCCAGCTAATTTTTTTGTATTTTTAGTAGAGATGGGGTTTCACCGTGTTAGCCAGGATGGTCTCGATCCCCTGACCTTGTGATCTGCCTGCCTTGGTCTCCCAAAGGGCTGGGATTATAGGCGTGAGCCACCGCACCCAGCCAATAAAAACTTTAAAAATTCCTATTCTGTGGAAACTGAGGCTCAAAGAGGTTTAAACATATCTTTCTTCATAGTGCCAGTATAACAAAGGAGGCTTTCTGAGACCCACATCTAGGTTTGTAGGGCCTGATAAAACACCCTTCTCCCCTCAACAATGCTTTTGTTTATGAGATATGTACTTAATTTTTGAATATAAGCAGTTTTATCAGGGAAAGAAGATGTAACAAAATGGGTTTTGGGAAGACAAGATGAGGTGATATTTGGGTCTATGTTTGCTTTGGGCCTTAGAAAAAAAACAAGGTAATGAACATTTGTTGACCCCAAAATTGGTATTAGATACTATTTCAGATATTCCTAACAACCATAGTCTTACTAATTCTTGCCAACATGCTAACAGCACCAGTAGTCATTGTTAGATACTGCTATTTTCTGGCCTTAGAGAAATAAAGTCACTTTCCTAAGGTTGCACAGCTCCTAAGGGGCAGAAATGGTTTTAAACCGCAGGGGGCTGTGCAAGAGTGAACATGTGGAGATGGATCAGAGGACATCCTAGGGTGGGGGAGGGTGTGTGCAAGGCACAGATGAATGGAAGTGTCCAGAGCATATTTGGGAAATATTCCCATTTTACTAATGAGTTAACTATGATCCAAGAAGGTAGGATCACTTGCCCAAATAGAAAAATGTATGTGATTAAATAAGATAATTTCTGAGAAAGTGCCCAAGGCAGCAGCTAGCTCTCTGGGAGTATAATAAATGTTACACTTTTATTCATAAGTGTTGTTTATCTTCCTCCTGAAACCACTCAGTACACAGCCAGAACCAGGGCTTAAATCCAAGTTAAACCCAAAAGGAAATTCTTTTTGGACTGCATGGTGTGGATGGGTTTGGTTTATTCTGAGATTGTGCTGAGGAGCCTGTTACCAGGCCTGGCAGTGGGCCACACCCCCTAGGGTCAAGATGTGAGGAAAGGAGACTTAGAAGGGTTGGAGGGGTAGGAATTAAGGGAAGGAAGCGAGCATGGTTGAAAGCATAAGGTCTATACTAGATGGACCAAGACAGTGAAAATGAGGGCATTCCAAGCAGAGGGAACAGCACAGACCAAGAGTTCAATAGAGCTTAATGTATAAACAAAGGAGGTGCAGGGAGAGGCTGGAAAACTACATGGGAGTCAGGCCAGAGACCTTGGATTTATCCAGGGTTAATGGCAACCATTAAGCAGTTCCTTAAGCAAGGCAAGCTAAGGATGCTCAGTTTTTCATTCTGAACAGTCATAGGGTAAATATTCCTGTTCACAGTATTCAGCCTCCAAGATGGCCCAAATGATGCCTGCTGCTGCTAGTATTCATATTCTCATGTAATTCTCTCCCACAATGTATCAGGGTTGGTCTGTGTGACAATAGAATGTGGCAGAAGAGATGATATGTCACTTCTGAGATTAGGTTATAAAAAGCCCTGCAGCTTCCATGTCTGTCTGTGTCTCTCCCACTCTCAGATCACTTGCTCTGGGGGGAAGCCAGCTGCCATGTTCTTGAGCAGTCTATGGAGAGGTTACTGTGAAGAGGAACTAGAGCCTCCTGCCAACAATTCTGGGAGTGAGCTTGGAGGCATATCCTTTAGCCTGGTCAAGCTTTTGGGTGACTGTAGCCCCAGCTAACATGCAAACCAAGAGATCCTAAAACAGAACCACCCAGCTAAGCTGCTCCTGGACTCCTGACCCTCAGGAATCGTGTGAAATAATAAAGGATTGTTGTTAAGTTTCACGGTTTTCTACCTAGGAATAGATAATTAATACACTGTTGAAGGGCAGATTCAGGCAGATGAAATGGTTTAGGCAGAACCACATAGCTTAGTAAATGTCAGGCCCTGGTTTTGCTCTTCAGTCTGTCTGACTTCAAACCCACTCCTTCCCCTATGTCATGCTGTTTCTGCAATTTTCCTGAGTGATATACCAGAGATCAAGTTCTAAGCACAATCATGTCCATCCGACTCATTAGTAATTTCTTAGGTTCCTGCTAGGGACTGAGCTATGCAGCAAGTGGTTACCCTTGTCATATCTTAGATAAATTAAACATTGTACCTGCCCTCATTTTTTTATTAGACAAATGGGCATATAAAAAACAAACTGTAATAAAAGCTGATAATGTAAAATAGAGTAAAAACACAAAGTCCTAAGAAAATAATGAGAAAGTAGTAATTGACTCTGTCGGTAAAAGACTTAGAGAAGATTCCATGGGGAAGGTAAATTTGGACCTGGGCCAAGCAGAAAAGGATTTGAGTAGAAGGAATGGCATTGCCGAGCAGAGAAAACCACAGGAGCAAAGAAATAGTACTACAAAACTACTAAGCATATTTAGGAATTGTTAATGCTTTTTATTGCATTAAAAAGAACATATAGCCAGGTGTGGTGGCACACACCTATAATGACAGCACTTTGGGAGGCCACAGCCAGAGGATTGATTGCTTGAGGCCAGGAGTTCAAAACCAGCCTGGGCAACATAGCAAGACCCCATCTCTACAAAAAAAATTAAAAATTAGCCGGGCATGGTGGCATGGACCTGTAGTCCTAGCTATTCAGGAGGCTGAGGTGGGAGGATCATCTGAGGTAGAAGCCAGAGTCTGGGGCTACAGTGAGCTCTGATCATACCACTACACTCTGTCCTGGGCAACAGAGCAAGACTTCATCTCTAAAAATAAAATAAAAAGAACAAATATGTACACTTACAGAACTGGAAGGATCCAACCAATGCATGAGAATATGCATTTATGTCTGACATAAACACTCAGATTTGTGTGTGGCTAGTCACTGGCCGTAAGAATCAGATTAGCAATTCAACATTTTAATTCCTATGGCATCCTATTTTCATAATAGAACTGTAGGTGCTTTGCTAGTCACTTTCATACACATTATTTTATTTAGCTTGTGTAATTTGTTAATCCCTACTTCATAGATAAGAAGATTAAAGGCTAACAGAAATTAAGTAATTTGCAAGGAGTTTCCCTATAGTAACGACTGGGTTGTGTTGTCTAAGGCCTCTGTACTTTCTGATACATACTTTGTCCTTCTAGATTATTGTAGTCACTTCCTAATTAGCCTCCCACTTTCATCCCACACTCTGTTCCCACATAGCGGCCAGAGTGGTCCTTATAAAACATATGGCAGATGACTTCATGCCTGATATGGTTTGGATGTGTGTTCAACCAAATCTCATCTTGAATTGTAGTTCCCATAATCCCCATGTGTCATGGGAGGGACCCAGTGGGGGGTAATAGAATCATGGCAGTGGTTACCCCCATGCTGCTATTCTCATTGATAGTGAGTGAGTTCTCACAAGACCTGATGATTTCAAAAGGGGCTTTTCCCTCTTTGCTAGGCACTTTTCCTTCCTGCCATCATGTGAAGAAGGATGTGTTTGCTTCCCTTTCCACCCGTGATTGTAAGTTCCCTGAGGCCTCCCCCGCCATGCGGAACTGTGAGTCAATTAAACCTCTTTCATTTATAAATTACCCAGCCTTGGACAGTTCTCTATAGCAGTGTGGGAATGGACTAATACAATGCCTCTCCTCAAATCTCCCAAGGTACTCTCTTAGAATGAAACCCAAATCACCTCCCATGGCCCACAGGGCCCTGTGTGACCTGACTCCTGGCTACCTCTCTGATCCCATTCCTGGCTTTTTGTTTCCTCAGCCTCTAGGCTTGAACTGCACTGGCCTAGAATGTTTTCTTCCAGGTGTCCACATGACTGTCATTCTACATTCATGTCTTCTTAAATGACAACTCATTGGAAGGCCTTCCCTGACTACCCAATCTAATACAGATCACTGACCCAAGCCCCAGCACTCCAGTTCTTTTCTATCCTCCTAGTCTGCCTTATTTTTCTCTACCACACTATCTACCTCCCACAATATTCTTTTATTCCTTTACTAGTTTTATAATCTGTGAGCTCAATCAGGGCAGTAGGCTTTGTCTGCATTGTTCACTGCTATTTAGGATGACTGATTTGTCGCAGTTTTCCTAGGGCTTTCTGGTCTTAGTACTAGAAGTTCCATGTGCTGGGAACTTCCCTCAGTCCTGGACAAACCAGAACAGTTGGTCAACCTATTGCTCTTCCCCCTTCAAATGTTGGGCTCAAGGCCCTGGTTCCTGGGTGACCCAGCCTGTCACACTATCATGTATGATACCCACTGAAGACAGAACAAGTAATGATAATAAGTCATCTAGTTACTTTCTCTGGAAACTTTCTTCAAGCCTTCCTTCCAATCAAAATTCATAGCTTCTTCCCCTTGGCTCCCACCTCATGTTATTAATACCTTCGTTTTACTAATAGTTTGCATTCTGGTTCATTCTACTTGTCTGTCAGACATCCACTAGGACTGTACACTCCTGGAAGACAGGTGCTCCACTTTTGTGCCCCTCAAATACTTTGTACTTTATGGATGCTCAATAAATTTTTATTGAAATGAATATTTGTATAAACCTAGAGGAATACTCCAGAATAAAGATTTCATAATAAAGTCATTGTTCTCCACAAATAAAAATTACTCCTAAGAGTCCAGCTGGCAGAGGAGATGTGTTTCCAGGAGTGCTGTGGATGCTTCAGCATGAAAGGAATGAATAAAGCTAAGAGCTGAGCAGAGGGGAGTGTGTGTGTGTGTGTGTGTGTGTGTGTGTGTGCGCGCACGTGTGCATGTTTGTAGAAGTTGGGGGACAGATAATGGGGAGAGAAGAGAAGGTAATCAGCCCAAGAAGCAGAAGTAGAGACACAGATGAGCAAAACAGTCATGGAAACAAAGAAAGATTGAATAAACAATTCAACACAAGTCCTAAGGCTCCTGGTTAAGGTGTCTGTTAAAGCATTGTGTATAAAACTAGCCACCTAAAAAAATATCTAAAAGGAGAACATGTCTTAACATAGCAAGGTCTTTATCACATATTTTAAGTAGAGAAAAGCAGGCAGTAAAATATAATATGCAGTGTGATTTTGGCATCATGGTTAAGACCACAGGCTCTGAAGCCTGACCATTTGAATCCCAGCTCAACCACTTGCTAACTGTTTGATCTTAGGCAAAGCACTTACTTTTTGAGCCTTAGTTTTTTCATCTGTAAAATGAGGATAATAATAGTATCCCCTTTACAGAACAGTTTGAGAATTAAGTGACTTGATACATGTGCAAATGCTTCATATTGTTACAGTATTATCACCATATGGGCCTATTAGGGAGAAGACAGTCACGCACTGCATAATGTTTTCAGCCAGTGACAGACTGCACATAAAACGGTGCAGTCATTAAGGCGTAGGTGTGAAGTGGGCTACACCATCTAGGTTTGTACAACTACAGTCTATAATGTTTACACAATGATGAAATCACCTAAGAACCCATTTCTCAGAGCATATCCCTGTCATTAAGCAATGCATGACTGTATATATGTGTGTATATATATGCACATGGGCAGAATACAGAATGTAAGGATGTTAATAGTGATGGGAGATTATGGGTAATTAAAATTTTCTCCTTTATGCTTACCTGCAGGTTCAAATTTTTTCTATTTAAAGCATATTAATCGTATTTTTTTTAATGAAAACAAAACACAAAAAAGGAACTGAGATGGGTATCAGGATTTGGAGTACAAAGCTAGGAAATGAAAAAACCAGAAGTGAGACCAAGAGAAAAATAACGAAAGAAGGCAAGGGGGAGAGAGAGCAGTCAAGGCCAAGACCCCAGGCAGCCAGTTATCTATGACTGGCTTCTCTGCTTACAATGAGATGGGTGACCACAGCTGAAAGGCATAGACAACAGTTACCCAACTGAAGTACTATCTTAAGAACATTAAGCATGTGTATTGGGTGAACTGGCTCAACAATTTTTTATAATCTGGGTTAATTTTTTTTAAGTTTCTTTCTTTAAAAGAGTACCTAAAATTTAAAGCTTCTTTTAATTTGAATCTCTTTAGAACTACTAAATTGAGATATTTAATTCTTCTAAAGGAAATCCTTTTAAAACTGCAGCTTGGCTTAATTTAGTAATTTCACTTATGGAATAAAGGATCAGTTGCAGAACTTATTTTCTGCTAAGATAGTAGGTACTGAGAACTTTAAGCAAAGTTGACAGCTGATGTTACCAAACCACAGTGGTCTCACTTCATTCGAGTCTCTTCAGAAGAACCCCAGAGACAGGGAGTTGACTGAAACTATTGTGAACGTATTTACTTTTTAACAAACAAATATGCACATAAAAATATAAGGAAATAAATGCAATGTGGTATCCTGGTTTGGATTCTGGAACAGAAAAAGGACATGAGTGGAAAACTGGTGAAATCCAAATAACGTCTATAGTTTATTTTGAACAAATGCATCATGGTTATGTAAGAAGTCAATATTAGGAGAAACTGAGTGACGAGTACATGGGAATTCTCTGTACTATCTTTATGATGTTTCTGTGAATCTACAATTATCCAAAATTGAAAGTTTATTCTGTTGTCCCAACAAGCAGATCAATCCTTGTTCTTCCAGTATAGTGGCTGGCACATAAAAGACACTATTGAGTGAATGAATAAATGAGTGATAGAAACAACTTTTTATCTATCTGTTCACAATCATGTAATGCAAAATTATCTCCTTCTTCTTATATCATTGCCTATTATCTGTGTCTATAATAGGTTATTTATAAATATCTTTCTCTGTCTGTCTGCATCCTCAACCAGACTGTGAGCTTATAGGATATTTATTAATAATTGCCCAACATTAGCTTGGTATCTGTTATATTCTAGGTTCTGTGCCAAATAACTTTAAAAATATCACCTCATTTATTCCTTACAACCACACTCTGCAACAGGTATTATTATTATCATCCCATTTTATAGATGAGGAGCTTGAATCTCAGTTAACTTAATTGCTCAAGGTCACACACCTAGAAGATGACAGAGCTTGGATTTGAATTTAAATCCCATGACAGCGTTCACATTCTTAATCACCATAGAAGGAACTGCTCTTTATTCACCTTTTCAATCCCTACTGCACCAACAGAGGTTTTTGTATATACAAAATCTGTTCAACAAAGATCTACACTTTTAGCTATGAAATCTAACACCTTCCAAGTAAACAGAAAGTTATAAGCAAACCCCATTTTGAGTCTTCTAGCCTTTCAGTGAGACAGTCCACACAATAACTACCTTATGTGATGAGGACTTAACAGTATTTTCTCCTGAAAAGAATAGCACACAATCTTCCTTCCTTTGCAACTTAGCCTACCAGATTTGAATGTTTTTACATAGTGCTGGAGCCTGGCATACTTTTTGCCCCAGAGGGTACGGCACTGGGCCTACCAGATGGATATCAGACTGAGGCAACTTCAGACTTAATACATGGAGGTTTTCTAGCATTTTCTCTTCACAGCCACAGTAACTAACATTAACAGACATCTTTACTATGTGCTGAGCTCTATTCTAAGACCCTCATGTGCATTAATTTAGTTAATCCTCATAATAACACAATGAGATAGATACTATTATCATCTGCATTTTATTCTTGAGGAAAATGAGGCACCGAAAGCTTTAATAACATGCCCAAATGGTATGGCTCCAGAGCCTATACTCTAGTCCAGTGTTTTATATTGCCTCTCAAAGAAATGGACGGCTTTGTGTGGTACTGGGTATCCTATGACTGGATCTACGCAATGTAGGTTAAAAGTCTCAATTTTGTGGATATTGTAGAGAACATCCCTGCACTGATTGAGTTTCTACATCACTTTTCTCAGATCACTGTAATAGCAGTGATCACCAACTCTAAGATACAGCTGTTAAAGAGCCTGTTGTGTGATCTGCAATTGTAAACTTCTCCAAGGCAGGAAATGGTATTAGTTTTGCATCTTCAATACCTTACACAATGTCTGACACATAGTAGGTTTACAATTAAAATGTCCTGTATTTATTTGTTAGTTAACTCATAGGGCTGAACAGCAGCGGGTCTGTGAAGGAAGTTAAGAAGAATGGTACTTGTTCTGAAATCCCTTCAAGCCGGGGCATTTTACTCTCTGGAACCAGTTTAGCAAACATGATGACATCATTCACTGCCTTCTGAGTCCAGAAAGTCAGATGGGCACAGCTCCTGGAGAGCTTCCCTAGTCAGTCCCCAGGCAGGCCGAGTCCATCAAGGACAATCTTTAAGAGTCTGATAAATCAAATTATAATAACCCAAGCATGCTCAGTCAGTTGAATGCCTCGAATAACTGAAGACATTAATACATCTTCTGGAAGGGAGACATTGGGTTGTGCAACAGGACAGATAATAGACCTTATTCAGGTCAGCATGAATGAGAGCAAGAACAAGTCTTTAAAATTTCAATTATCTTTGGATAATTCTTCCTAATGTAAAGAAAGAACAAAGAGAGAATTTATGAAGCAGAATTTGAACAGAAATGAGATTTTTGAGGGATGGTTCTAAGTACCAGATTTAAAACAAAACACAACACAAAAACCAGTAAGAGTTCTACAGGCATTAGGAGGTGGGCAAAGGCATCTTTTGTTGCAAGAAAGACTTCTGAGAAGAGAGTTCCCAGATTAGACAAGACTGACATCAAATGAGTTGTGTCCTCAATGAACAGAAATATGATATGGATGCAGAGATATGTATAGCTTGACAGGCTTTGGAACAATCAAGACCTGGTGCAGATTCTGGGGCCCTTAATTAGCTACAGGATTTGTGCACCTCAGTTTGTTCTTCTGTAAAATGAGGATAATAGTACCTTCCTTCCTCAAGGGCACTTGAGAGGATTTCAGTATAGAACAAGCATGGTACTGAGCAGGCTGTCAATAAACAAGAACTGTCAGTATTGCATGCCATTCACAGATTAGTTGACAGGAAGTGGTTAACTTCTTAGCTCTCCAGAGGCTAGACCATGATCACTGGAGTGCTATAAACAGGACTCCTACGTGGACAGGGAGTTGGGTTAGTTGATCACTCACTAACTCTGATTCTATACCATTTGTTGCTAAATTACAGTTTCAACTGTAGCTCTCACTGACCTTTTATACACTCCCCTCTACTGAGTATTCACACCTTCAGATCTTTTGATAAACCATCTGCCCACCCACCCCCCTTCTCTAACTAATCAATAACAGGAGTCCTTCTAAAACAAGTCTGTCTATTGCCTGCAATCGATCTATCATCGATCAGTTATCCATCCCGCCATCCATCCCTCCATCCAACTTTACCATATATCTTCTTTTTTGGTTTTAGCTCCTCCACAGCTTTCTCTTTACTTCCTCTGCTCATGTCTCTTCTTCTGAATTCCCTGAGTGCGTTACTTTCTTAGTGCTTAACACAGACTGTACTTTTTTGTTAAATAAAGTGTTTAGTAAACTATCTAAAAGCACATAGTTTAGTATCTTGTCTGAGTCATTTTTATATGCCTCAACAGGCCTAAAATTGCACCTGTAGAGGAGAAATGAATAACATTTATAAAGCACTTACTTGGTATCAAGTATTATGCTAGGTACTTATATACAGTAATTAGTTCATAGAATGTTTAGAAACAACCTTGTAAGATACCATTATCCCCACTTTACAGTTGAGCAGGAATCTGGATATCTCAGGGGCTAAATGTCTTGTCCAAAATTACACCAAGTAGTGAAATCAGGTGCGATGACACTAAGACTATGCATTTCCACCATATCACACTCTTTCCATCTGCACTAACAATAGCACGTTCGTCTTGACAATAGCACGTTCGTCTTGCACGCCACTAACATTATCTCCCACGGGCACTGTGGAATGAAGGGCAGAAGGTGTGCCACCTATTTGCAGTTCTGATCTCCACCACTCAGTACATAAGGATTGTAGGGAACATCCCATTCTTATCCCATTAAATAGATGTCTATAAGTATTGCCGAGGACAGGGGTAGAGCTGGAATGCCAGCCTCTCCCTTGGTAGAATCCTGTCTTTCCACAACTGCTGGTTCTGTGGCACAGGGCAGGTGCATGATAATAATGATGATGGATGAATAAATGATTAAATGTATTACAAGGAGGCTGAGTCAGGTCTTACTGACTCAGATTCATTGGAGCCTTCCTTCTACAAAATGAAAATGGAGAATTAGCAAAAAAGAGTTCAGGCAACTTAATAAACCACTTCGGCTTCCCTCTCATAGTGTGAGGATGGGAGAGGGGGTGGCGTTTGGGAGAACAACAAACCTGAGATCCCACTGCTGCCTGCGTCAACATCATTCTATATGTAAATGCAGGCCTGCCTTTTAAAGAGCTTGGCTCTGCAACTCATTAGGTCATCTCAACTTAGACTGGAGCCTCCGGGAGTTTGCATAAGTGGTGTGAATCCCTTAAGAGCTGGGAAGAAACACCATTTTCTTGATGGATTAATTTACAAGCAAAAAGTGTCAGAGGAGAGATTGCAAGAAACTTCTTTCCCCAAGACTTGAAACAGGCACTCATAATTATTAACCAGGGAGCCATGTGCTAGGGTTATGTTCTAAGGCAGGCTTTGGATGCAATGAATGACTTCCCCTAGCAGAAAAAAATGCATTCACACTTTCAAACCAAGAGCGCACAGGAAGATGCAGAGCAATTGAGAAGATTCACTCCCTTTCCAGTGAGGAAAGCTTCTCCTAGGCATCCCCCGTTTTCCTCCTGTACATCGCAGTAAGCAGGGCAGTGCTACTGTCTTCTGGCTTTACAATGGACATTGCTACAGCCAGGGAGAGTCTGGTGGGATCTTTCTCACAATTGGGACACTCCAAAAGTAGGTTAGCTTCTTCAGACCCTACTGAAGTTCCTTTCATGAGTCATTTTTTATTCTAATAAGTCCCAATTTAAGGCTAACTTAAATCCAGTTGAGGTCAAATAAATTCACTCAGCACCCACTTGGTGCTAGGCACTATGTTAGACACTGTGGATACAGAAATGAACAGGGCAGGATTTCTGCTTTCAATTAACTCACTGTCCAGGACAGCCGGCAAGAAGAGAAAGAATTATAATTCGGCATGGCTGGGGCTATGTAGAGGGGAATGTTGAATCTATCAGAACAGAATGGATAGGCTTCTATTCTCCATTTGTGAAGTCTGGGTATAGTTCCTGGAAGATAGGATTGCTGAGCAAAGTACTCAAGAACAAATGAAAGTTTCAGATGAGCAGGGATCGCATCCTAGGCACAGGAAACAGTGTAAGCAAAGGCATGGGCTTGTGAACCAGAATTTTTATGTGCGGGACACTTCAATCAGCTCATTGTTACAAAAGATACACTTTTAAGGAGCAGTGTAGTGAGGGTTGAGGCTGGACAGTTAGCTAAGAGGCAAGTCACACATGGGCCTTCTTGGCTAGTGAGCAAGTACTTTAGGATTCTACACAGGGAAGCCAAGCATTCAGATTTATGCTCATTCCTAGAGGCCTGATGGGGGAAGAATCAGAGGTGGTAAAAAGGAGACAAGGTTGTTTTGTGATAAAAATCTGGGAAACAGATGATGAAGACATTACATTATTGATGGAGAGTAGGTGACACATTTGGGATATATTAAGGGGCCGATTGTATGAGGCTTCTGGGAAAGAGTAGAGGAAGGAGACTGGGATGGTTCCAGTCCCAGACTGGGTATGTACGTGGCTCCTGCTGCTGATCATTGTGACAGAGATGACAGAAGTAGGGCTGGAGAGGTGCAGATTGGGGTGGCAAGCATAGGGAGTAAATGGTCAAGGTTTGCTTCTCTAAATCTGAGGTACCTATGGGTGATTTATCTGGGGTTGTCCAGCATATTCCTATTACTTAGGATTAGGAATATGGCTTTGGAGTTTTTAGTGGGGGAAAAAATGGGTATCTATACTATGGGTCTAAATGAAGTTATTCTGAGAGAACAGGTAAAAAGATAAGAGCAGTGGTAATAGGAACCAATTCAAGAAAGGAAAGAAAGAAACAGAGAAAGAGAGAGAGAAAGAAAGAGAAGGAAGGAAGGAAGAAAGAGAAAGAAAGAAAGAAAGAAAGAAAGAAAGAAAGAAAGAAAGAAAGAAAGAAAGAAAGAGAAAGAAAGAAAGAAAGAGAAAGGGAAAGAAAGGAAGGAAGGAAGGAAGGAAGGAAGGAAGGAAGAGAGAGAGAGAAGAGGCATGTACAACAAATTCAGACCACTAGGAAAACAACTTAAAAGCCTCCCTACTCAGCAAATCACTTGAGCCCAGAAGACCTAAACTGCAGTGAGCTAAGATCACACCACTGCACTCTAGCCTGGACCACAGAGCAGGATCCTTTCTCTTAAATAGAAAAAATAAAAAAAAAGGGCCAATGTTGTCAATAGGAGCGATGAGCCTAGAGAGTTGAAAAAGCAGGGAGGGTTCAGGGTCAAATGCAGCAGCAACAAGGTGAGGACTGCAGGGCGCTCACTGAGGCTGGCAACAGGGTGCTCATTGGCAATCCTGGCCAGAGCTGGTTCAGGTATTCAGGGAGGTGGAAACCAGATGACAAGGTGTGAAGTGTTTAGGGGAGGTTAACGGGAGGGGGCAATGTTAGGAATCTCAGCTGAGAAAGGAAGGAGGGAGAGAGAACACCAGCCAAAGGAGGCAGATATGCAAAGGGAAGTTGTATCTGCTGCGTTTTGAGGATGAGAGAGACCTAAGCAGGCTTATCAACCAAGAGGAAATAACCGGTAGAGAAGGAAGGAATTAAAGAAAACATGAAGCGAGGAGATATTTGATAAGGTAATCTCCTAAGGAGACAACAGAAGAAGGGATAGAGAGCAGGAAGGCCTCCAATAGGGAAAATACCTCTTGTTCTAGGCTACTAGAAAAGGAGGTAAAAATCCCATATAATCCAATAATCTTGGAGAAGTGCAATGCAGTGTTTAAAACTCAAGTTAGCCAGAAATGAATCCCACTGTTCACTCTGCCACTTAATAGCTGTGTAAGCTGCGAAAGTCGCTTGAATTTTCCTAGCTTTGTGTTACTTACGTGTAAAGTAGGCTACCTCTTTTGCAGGTGATCATGAAGATTCTGTGAAAGCAGGTATGCAAAGCATTTAGTACAGTCCTGGCATATAGTAAATGCTCAATACACTAACTTGTTTGTGTTGTTTTTGTCATGGATATTATTATACAGTTTCAACTATGGTTTCGATAAGCCTTTGTGGTTTTCTAATCAGCAAACCCAATCATGTTGCCTTTGCTAATACAAAAAAATGCGTTTTGAATTCCAAATAACTTTCTTACAAACTCTTTTGGAACAAAACTGTTTTCTTAAATAAGAACAGCCTCATGTCACACACATATAATAATGGAGAAGTATTTGCCTCCTATTTTTTCTCCATTGACTTTCTATTGCTTTCAGTCATATGAATTTGGGTTTTTAATGAAACACTAGCCTACAAATATTTTGAGTGTTCCACTTGCACTTATTTTAAAACTGATTTTGAAAAGTTTCTAGTGAGTCTTTCAAAAATGGAAAATATTACAATGTAGAAAGTCACTGATGAGGTTATTCATCAAGGCAGAGCATTTTGCATGACTAGCTTCACCTCATTCAGTAGAGTCACAACATCATGGGTGACTCAGGCTAAATCTAGATTCTATTTACATAAAACATTCATGTTAGAGCTCTCAATCTTCGGTATCTCTATTTTTTTTTTTTTTTTTTTTTTTTTTTTGAGACGGAGTCTCACTCTGTCACCAGGATGGAGTGCAGCGGCACTATCTCGGCTCACTGTAACCTCCACCTCCTGGGTTCAAGTGATTCTCCTCTCTCAGCCTCCCAAGTAGCTGGGACTACAGGCACGTGCCCCCACACCCAGGTAATTTTTGTATTTTTAGTAGAGGCTGGGTTTCACCATGTTGGCCAGGATGGTCTCCATCTCTTGACCTTGTGATCTGCCTGCCTCGGCCTCCCAAAGTACTGGGATTACAGGCGTGAGCCACCCCACCTGGCCGGTATCTTTTTTCTTTTTCATTTTGCTTCTTCCTTTCTCTCTTTATGTCTGTCTCTGGGTTTTTTTTTTTTTTTTTCTTTCAAGAGCAAATAATAGAGCAGTGTAAGCACTGCATTCATGGAAACTAAACAAACAAACAAAAAAGTATACGAAATCACGTCTGAATAAGTCTATGGAGTTTACACAGGTCGTGTAAATACACGTACTCATATGATGATCATTGCTGCTTGCTAATCAGCAATGGTCATTTACACCATCATTCAGGTGCTGTGCTCACTCTGGGCTCAGAGAAAGGAAAAGCCATGGCTCTTGCTCTTAAAAGATGCTCACAGACAAAAGCATTGGGACTCAGTGAGTGATTTGTCCAGGGTCACAGTGCTAATAAGGATAGAACCTACAACTTGAATGTAGGATTTTTGAGTTCAAACTTAGTGCCATTTTCAGTACATCACTGTTGATTCTTAATGAGAAACATAGTCTTTCCCAAGGAATTTCTATGTGTTGGGAAACATGATATGAAATCCATTTCCCAGCTGAGAATCTTCTTTCATTCCTTTACATTCTATTTAAAAATGACCCCTTTTTCATTCCAACTCCCAATTAAGCTATTTGGTTTGTTCTACCTGCTACTTAACTATATATTTTGTGTCACAATATCTTGGTTTCAGGTCCTAAACTTTTATTTAGGCAGCAGTGAGGATGGTGTTTCCAACACAAATTGAGAAGGAATTATATATAATAAGATATGCTTTAAGCAAGGAGCAAGATGATTATTTCATTCCTTTTTATGACTGAGTAGCATTCTATGGTATATACATACCACGTTTTCTTTATCCACTCATTGATTGATGGGCATTTGTGTTGATTCCATGATTTTTCAATTGTGAATTGTGCTGCTGTAAACATGTGTGTAGAAGTATCTTTTTCGTATAATGACTTATTTTCCTCTAGATAGATACACAGGAATGGGATTACTGGATCAAATGGTGGTTCTACTTTTAGTTCTTTAAGGAATCTCCACACTGTTTTCCATAGTGGTTGTACTAGTTTACACTCCCACCAACAATGGAAAAGTGTTCCCTTTTTACCACATACACTCCAACATCTATTTTTTTTTTTAAATTTTTATTATGGCCATTCTTGTAGGAGTAAGGTGGTATTACATTGTGGTTTTGATTTGCATTTCTCTGCTAATTAGTGATGCTGAGCATTTTTTCATATGTTTGTTGGCCATTTGTATATCTTCTTTTGAGAATTGTCTATTCACATCCTTAGCCCACTTTTTAATGAGATTGTTTGGTTTTTTCTTGCTGATTTGTTTGAGTTCCTTGTAGATTCTGGATATTAGTCCTTTGTTAGACATACAGATTGTGGAGATTTTCTCCCACTCTGTGGGTTGTCTGTTTACTTTGCTGACTATTTCTTTTGCTGTGCAGAAGCTTTTTGGTTTAGTTAACTCCCATATATTTATCCTTGTTTTTTGTTGCATTTGCTTTTGGGTTCTTGAAGTCTTTGCCTAAGCCAATGTCTAGAAGGGTTTTTCCAACGTTATCTTCTAGAATTTTTATGGTCTCAGGTCTTAGATTTAAGTCTTTGATCTATCTTGAGTTGATTTTTTTGTATAAGGTGAGAGACACGTGGCATGCCAATTATCCCAGCACTGTTTGTTGAATAGGGTGCCCTTTCCCCACTGTGATGGTTAATAATGAGTGTCAACTTGATTGGATTGAAGGACATAAAGTATTGATCCTGGGTGTGTCTGTGAGGGTGTTGCCACAGGAGATTAACATTTGAGTCAGTGGGCTTGGAAAGGTAGACCGACTCTTAATCTGGGTGGGCACAATCTGATCAACTGCCAGCATGGCTAGAATATAAGCAGGCAAAAATATGTGAAAAGAGAGACTGGCCTGGCCTCCCAGCTACATCTTTCTCCTGTGCTGGATGCTTCCTGTCCTTGAATATCAAACTCCAAGTTCTACAGTTTTGGAACTCGGACTGGCTCTCCTTGCTTCTCACCCTGCAGACGGCCTATTGTTGGACCTTGTGATCATGTAAGTTAATACTTAATAAATGGCTTATATATATATACACACACACATATATATACACATATATGTATACATATATATGTGTGTGTGTATATATATATATTTCATTAGTTCTGTACCTCTAGAAAACCCTGACTAATACAAACTTTGGTATCAGGAGAGGTTCTAGAGGGACAGAATATTAAGGATTGAGTTCTTTCATTGGTTTTGGGGTTTCTGGAGTTGGCTGCTTAATATGATTGACCCCAAAATACTAAGGACTCTATTTCTAATAGTATGGAGAACACCGACAGTCCTTGGCATGAACTGTTTAGAGAGTTATGCAAAATAAATGCATTTGACACTCCTGATTCATCGTTGGTGAGGGGCAAGGAGTTTAGTGACTCTATACATAATACCTTTGACCATAAGTGGAAAACCAAGGAACATAATGAAGGTGGTTGGTTGCTCCTAAGTTCAGTGGACAAAGTGATGAAAGAAAATGATAAACTCAGAGATTCTATCTCCCGGCTTCAGAAGCAGATACTGAGCCTCAAATCTTCTAAAATTGCTCTGAGTGAGAGTCTTATCTCCTGTAGAGAAAGAGCTGAAATTGTGGAAAAACAGACACAAGCTTCTATCATGTGAGTGGCTGACCTGCAACCCAAGTTGCATGCACAGCCTTGCCAGATCTCTACTGTTAAAGTGAGGGCATTGACTGGAAAAGAATGGGACGCTGAAACTTGGAATGGGGATGTGTGGGAGGACCCTGATGAAGCTGGGGACACTGAGTTTGTAAACTCTGATGAAACTTTTCTTTCAGAAGAAAGAGCTTCCCCATCCCCAGTAGTGGCAACATGCCCTCCCTGAGCCATGCTGCCAACAGCTTTTCAACTTTTGTCTGAGGAGATAAACCCTGTGTTGCCTGAGGCAACAGTGATTACCTCCCCTGAGGCAGTTGCCAAGCAAGATAATGTTGATTCTCCTCAGGAGCCACCCACAACATCCCTGTTTGCTTCCAGACCTATAACTAGACTAAAGTCCCAGCGGGCCCCTAGAGGTGAGGTTGAGAGGGTGACCCATGAGGAAGCGTGCTACACTCAAAAAGAACTGCTTGAGTTTTCTAATTCATATAAACAGAAATCTGGAAAATAGTCATGGGAATGGATACTGCTTGAGTTTTCTAATTTATATAAACAGAAATCTGGAGAATAGCCATGGGAATAGATATTAAGGGTGTGGGATAATGGTGGAAGGAACATAGAGTTGGATCAGGCTGAATTTATTGATTTGGGCCCACTAAGTAGGAATCTGCATTTAATGTTGCAGCTTGGGGAGTTAAAAAACATTCTAATAGTTTCTTTGCTTGGTTAGCTGAAATATGGATTAAAAGATGGCCCATTGTGAGTGAGATGGAAATACCTGATCTCCCTTAGTTTAATGTAGAGAAAGGGATCCAAAGGCTTAGCGAGATTGGGATGGTGGAGTGGATTAGTCACTTTAGACCTACTCATTCCAGCTGGGAGGGTCCAGAAGATATACCCTTGACCAATGCCTTGTGAAATAGATTTGTGTCAGCAGCACCTGGATCTTTGAAGAGCCCTGTAATTGCTCTTCTCCATATGTCGGGTCTAACAGTGGGAACCAAAGTAACTCAGCTACAAAATTTAAATACAATAGGAATAATTGGATCCTGAGGTGGCAGGGGCCAAGTGGTACATTCAACCATCAAAGGCAAGCTGGGTTTAGCTACTGTAATGGACAGCAGAGGCAAAGCAGTAATCAAAATAGTCTGACTCATGTAGAGCTCTGGCATTGGCTAATTAATCACAGTGTTCCTAGAAGTGAAATTGATAGGAAGCCTACTGCATTTCTACTTAATTTATATAAGCAGAAAACTTCTATTTCGAATGGATCATCGTTTGAATGATAAAAACAGGAAATCACAGTCTCTCAATTTCCAGACTTGAGCCAGTTTATAGACTCAGAACCCCTTGAATGAAGGGGAGGCCGGGTCCCCTTGAGGAAGGACCCCACTATGCTACTGACAATTTATGCAGTGAATCTTTCTCCCATCCTTCCCGAAGGGGACCTCTGGCCTTTTAACCAGGGTAACTGTGCATTGGGGAAAAGGAGACGATCAGACATTTCGGGGACTATTGGACACCGGCTCTTAGCTGATGTTGATTCCAGGGGACCCAAAACATCATTGTGACCCTCCAGTTAAAATAGGGCTTATGGAGGTCAGGTAATTAATGGAGTTTTAGCTCAGGTCTGACTTACAGTGGGTCCAGTGGGTCCCCGGACTCATCCTGTAGTCATTTCTCCAGGGCCAGAATGCGTAATTGGCACAGACTCACTTAGCAGCTGGCAGAAACCCCACATCGGCTCCCTGACTGGTAGGGTGAGGGCCATTATGATGGGAAAAGCCAAATGGAAGCCATTAGAGCTGCCACTACCTAGAAAAATAGTAAATCAAAAATAATATCGCATCCTTGGAGGGATTGCGAAGATTAGTGCCACCATCAAGGATTTGAAAGATGCAGGGGTGGTGATTCCCACCACATCACCATTCAGCTCTCTCATTTGGCCTTTGCAAAAGACAGATGGATCTTGGAGAATGACAGTGGATTATTGTAAGCTTAACCAAGTGATGACTCCAATTGCAACTGCTGTACCAGATGTGGTTTCATTGCTTGAGCAAATTAACACATATCCTGGTACCTGGTATGCAGACATTGACTTGGCAAATTTCTTTTTCTCCATTCCTGTCCATAAGGCCCTCCAGGAGCAATCTGCCTTCAGCTGGCAAGGCCAGCAATATACCTCTACTGTCCAACCTCAGTGGTATATCAGTTCTCCGGCTTTGTGTCATAATCTTATTCAGAGAGAGCTTGATCACTTTTTGCTTCCGCAAGGTATCACACTGGTCCATTACATTGATGATATTATGCTGATTGGATCCAGTGAGCAAGAAGTAGCAAGCACACTGGACTTATTGGTGAGACATTTGCATGCCAGAGGATGGGAAATAAATCCAAGTAAAATTCAGGGACCTTCTACCTCAGTAAAATTTCTACAAGTCCAGTGGTGTGGGGCCTGTTGAGATATTATTTCTAAGGTGAAGGATAAGTTGCTGCCATTTGGCCCCTCCTACAACCAAGAAAGAGGCATAACACCTAGTGGGTCTATGTGGATTTTGGAGGCAACACATTCCTCATTTGGGTGTGTTACTCCAGCCCATTTATTTAGTGACCCCGAAGGCTGCCAGTTTTGAGTAGGGTCCAGAACAGTAGAAGGTTCTGCAACAGGTCCAGGCTGCTGTGCAAGCTGCTGTGCCACTTGGGCCATACAATACAGTAGATCCAATGGTGCTTGAGGTGACAGTGGCAGATAGGGATGCTGTTTGGAGCTTTTGGCATGCCCCCATAGGTGAATCACAGCAGAGGCCTCTAGGATTTTGGAGCAAGGCTCTGACATCTTCTTCAGATAACTACTCTCCTTTTGAGAGTCAGCTCTTGGCCTGTTACTGGGCTTTGGTGGAAACTGAACGTTTGACTACGGGACATCAAATTACCATGTTACCTAAACAGCCTATCATGAATTGAGTGCTTTCTGACCCATCTAGCCATAAAGTGGGTCATGCACAGCAGCATTCCATCATCAAATGGAAGTGGTATGTATGTGATTGGGCTCGAGCAGGTCCTGAAGGCACAAGTAAGTTACATGAGGAAGTGGCTCAAATGCCCATGGTCTCCATTTCTGCCACCCTGCCTCCTCTCCCCCAGCCTGCACCGATGAACTCATGGGGAGTTCCCTATAATCAGTTGACAGAGGAAGAGAAGACTAGGGCCTGTTTCACAGGTGGTTCTTAACAATATGCAGGAACCATCCAAACGTGGACAGCTGTAGCACTACAGCCCCTTTCTAGGACATCCCTGAAGGACAGCAGTGAAGGGCAATCTTCCCAGTGGGCAGAACTTTGAGCAGTGCACCTGGTTGTGCACTGTGCATGGAAGGAGAAATGACCAGATGTGCGATTATATACTGATTCATGGGCTGTAGCCAATGGTTTGGCTGGATGGTCAGGGACTTGGAAGAGGCATGATTGGAAAATTGGTGACAAAGAAATTTGGGGAAGAGGTATACAGATAGACTTCTCTGAGTGGTTAAAAACTGTTAAGATATTTGTATCCCATGTGAATGCTCACCAACAGGTGACCTCAGCAGATGAGGATTTTAATAATCAAGTGGATAGGATGACCTGTTCTGTGGACACCACTCAGCCTCTTTCCCCAGTCACCCCGTCTTCACACCAAGGGACAATGAACAAAGTGGCCATGGTGGCTGGGATGGAGGTTACGCATGGGCTCAGCAACATGGACTTCCACTCACCAAGGCTGACCTGGCTACAGCCACTGCTGAGTGCCAAATTTACCAGCAGCAGAGACCAACACTGAGCCCTCGATATGGCACCATTCCTTGCAGTGATCAGGCAGCTACCTGGTAGCAGGTTGATTATATCAGACCTCTTCCATTATACAAAGGACAGAGGTTTGTCCTCACTGGAATAGACACTTACTCCAGATATGGGTTTGCCGATCCCACATGCAATGCTTCTGCCAAAACTACCATCTGTGGACTCACAGAATGCCTTATCCACTGTCATGGTATTCCACACAGCGCTGTCTCTGACCAAGGCACTCACTTTATGGCAAAAGAAGTGTGGCAGGCCAGGTGCAGTGGCTCACGCCTGTAATCCCAACACTTTGGGAGGCCGAGGCAGGTGGACTACCTGAGTTCAGGAGTTTGAGACCAGCCTGGCCAACATGATGAAACCCCATCTCTACTAAAAATACAAAAATTAGCCAGGTGTGCTGGAGGATGCCTGTCATCCCAGCTACTTGGGAGGCTGAGGCAGGGGAATCGCTTGGACCAGGGAGACAGAGGTTGCAATGAGCTGAGATCGTGCCACTGCACTCTAGCCTGGGTGACAGACTGAGACTCCGTCTCAAAAAAAACAAAAACAAAACAAAACTGTGGCAGGGGGCTCATGCTCATGGAATTTACAATTCACTGGTCTTACCATGTTCCCCATCATCTCAAAGCAGTTGGATTGACAGAATGGCAGAATGGCCTTTTGAAGTCACAGTTACAATGCCAACTAGGTGACAATACATTGCAAGGCTGTGGCATGTCCAGAAGGCCATGTATGCTCTGAATCAGCATCCAATATATGGTACTGTGTCTCCCACAGCCAGGATTCATGCGTCCAGGAATCAAAGGATGGAAGTGGAAGTGGCACCACTCACCATCACCCCTAGTGATCCACTAGCAAAATTTTTGCTTCCTGTTCCCATGACATTACATTCTGCTGACCTGGTGGTCTTAGTTCCAGAGGGAGAGATGCTGCCACCAGGAGACACGACAACGATTCCATTAAACTGGAAGTTAAGATTGCATTTGGACACTTTGGGCTCCTCCTCCCTTTAAGTTAACAGGCTAAGAAAGGAGTTACAGTGTTGGCTGGGGTGATTGACCCAGACTATCAAGACGAAATCAGTCTGCTACTCTACAACGGAGGTAAGGAAGAGTATATATATATAAATAGGAGGCCATTAGGGCGTCTCTTAGTATTACCATGCCCTGTGATTAAGGTCAATGGGAAACTACAGCAGCCCAATCTGGGCAGGACTACAAATGACCCAGAACCTTCAGGAATAAGGTTTGGGTCACACCACCACAAAAAAAACACCTTGACCTGCTGAGGTGTTTGCTGAAGGCAAAGGGAATACAGAATGGGTAGTAGAAGAAGGCGGTCATCAATACCAGGTACAACCACATGACCAGCTGCAAAACAAGGACTGAAATTGTCATGAGTATTTTCTTCTTCTTTTGTTAAAAAGATGTTTGTGCATGTATACACTTGTAATAAGAAAATATCTTCAGCAGTTCCAAGATGGCCAAATAGGAACAGCGCCAGTCTACAGCTCCCAGCATGAGCGACGCAGAAGACGGGTGATTTCTGCATTTCCAACTGAGGTACCAGGTTTATCTCACTGGGGCTTGTCAGACAGTGGGTGCAGGACAGTGGGTGCAGCCCACCAAGCATGAGCCGAAGCAGGGTGAGGCATTACCTCACCCAGGAAGTGAAAGGGGTCAGGGAATTCCCTTTCCTAGCCAAGGGAAGCTGTGACAGATGGCACCTGGAAAATTGGGTCACTCCCACCCTAATACTGTGCTTTTCCAACGGTCTTAGCAAACGGCACACCAAGAGATTATATCCTGCACCTGGCTCGGAGGGTCCCATGCCCACAGAGCCTCCCTCATTGCTAGCACAGCAGTCTGAGATCAAACTGCAAGGTGGCAGCAAGGCTGGGGGAGGGGCACCCACCATTGCTGAGGCTTGAGTAGGTAAACGAAGCGGCCTGGAAGCTCGAACTAGGTGGAGCCCACCGCAGCTCAAGATGGCCTGCCTGCCTCTGTAGACTCCATCTCTGGGGGCAGGGCATAGCCAAACAAAAGGCAGAGAAACCTCTGCAGACTTAAATGTCCCTGTCTGACAGCTTTGAAGAGTGCAGTGGTTCTCCCAGCAAGGAGTTTGAGATCTGAGAATGGAGAGACTGCCTCCTCAAGTGGGTCCCTGACCCCTGAGTAGCCAAACTGGGAGGCACCCCCAGTAGGGGCAGACTGACACCCACATGGCTGGGTACCCCTCTGAGACGAAGCTTCCAGAGGAACAATCAGGCAGCAACATTTGCTATTCACCAATATTCACTGTTCTGCAGCATCCACTGCTGATACCCAGGCAAAGAGGGTCTGGAGTGAACCTCCAGCAAACTCCAACAGACCTGCAGCTGAGGGTCCTGACTATTAGAAGGAAAACTAACAAACAGAAAGGACATCCACACCAAAACCCCATCTGTACATCAGCATCATAAAAGACCAAAGTTAGATAAAACCACAAAGATGGGGAAAAAACAGAGCAGAAAAGCTGAAAATTCTAAAAATCAGAGCGCCTCTCCCCCTCCAAAGGAACACAGCCCCTCGCCAGCAACAGAACAAAGCTGGATGGAAAATGACTTTGATGAGTTGAGAGAAGGCTTCAGATGATCAAACTTCTCCGAGCTAAAGGAGGAAGTCTGAACCCATCGCAAAGAAGCTAAAAATCTTGAAAAAAGATTAGATGAATGGCCAACTAGAATAACCAGTGTAGAGAAGTCCTTAAATGACCTGACGGAGCTGAAAACCATGGCACGAGAACTACCTGAAGCATGCACAAGCTTCAGAAGCCAATCTGATCAACTGGAAGAAAGGGTATCAGTGATTGAAGATCAAATGAATGAAATGAAGCGAGAAGAGAAGTTTAGAGTAAAAAGAAATGAACAAAGCCTCCAAGAAATATGGGACTATGTGTAAAGACCAAATCTACGTCCAACTGGTGTACCTGAAAGTGACAAGGAGAATGGAACCAAGTTGGAAAACACTCTACAGGATATTATCTAGGAGAACTTCCCCAACTTAGCAAGGCAGGCCAACATTCACATTCAGGAAATACAGAGAATGCCACAAAGATACTCCTCGAGAAGAGCAACTCCAAGACACATAATTGTCAGTTCACCAAAGTTGAAATGAGGGAAAAAATGTTAAGGGCAGCCAGAGAGAAAGGTCGGGTTACCCACAAAGGGAAGCCCATCAGACTAACAGCAGATCTCTCAGCAGAAACTCTACAAGCCAGAACAGAGTGGGGACCAATATTCAACATTCTTAAAGAAAATAATTTTCAACCCAGAATTTCATATCCAGTGAAACTAAGCTTCATAAGTGAAGGAGAAATAAAATCCTTTCCAGACAAGCAAATGCTGAGAGATTTTGTCATCACCAGGCCTGTCCTGCAAGAGCTCTTGAAGGAAGCACTAAACATGGAAAGGAACAACAGGTACCAGCCACTGCAAAAACATGCCAAATTGTAAAGACCATTGATGCTAGGAAGAAACTGCATCAACTAACGAGCAAAATAACCAGCTAACATCATAACGACAGGATCAAATTCACACATAACAATATTAACCTTAAATGTAAATGGGCTAAATGCTCCAATTAAAAGACACAGACTGGCAAATTGGATAAAGAGTCAAGACCCATCAGTGTGTTGTATTCTGGAGACCCATCTCACGTGCAGAGACACAAGTAGGCTCAAAATAAAGGGATGGAGGAAGATCTACCAAGCAAATGGAAAACAAAAAAAAGGCAGGGATTGCAATCCTAGTCTCTGATAAAGCAGACTTTAAACCAACAAAGATCAAAAGAGACAAAGAAGGCCATTACATAATGGTAAAGGGGTCAATTCAACAAGAAGAGCGAACTATCCTAAATATATATGCACCCAATACAGGAGCACCCAGATTCATAAAGCAGCTCCTTAGAGACCTACAAAGAGACTTAAGACTCCCACACAATAATAATGAGAGACTTTAACACCCCACTGTCAACATTAGACAGATCAATGAGACAGAAAGTTAACAAGGATATCCAGGAATGGAGCTCAGCTCTGCACCAAGCAGACCTAATAGACATCTACAGAACTCTCCACCCCAAATCAACAGAATATACATTCTTCTCAGCACCACATTGCACTTATTCCAAAATTGACCACATATTTGGAAGTAAAGCACTCCTCAGCAAATTAAAAGAACAGAAATTGTAACAAATTGTCTCTCAGACCACACTGCAATCAAACTAGAACTCAGGATTAAGAAACTCACTCAAAACCACTCAACTACATGGCAACTGAACAACATGCTCCTGAATGACTACTGGGTACATAACAAAATGAAGGCAGAAATAAAGATGTTCTTTGAAACCAATGAGAACAAAGACACAACATAGCAGAATCTCTGGGACACATTCAAAGCAGTGTGTAGAGGGAAATTTATAGCACTAAATGCCCAAAAGAGAAAGGAGGAAAGATCTAAAATTGACAACCTAACATCACAATTAAAAGAACTAGAGAAGCAAGAGCAAACACATTCAAAAGCCAGCAGAAGGCAAGAAATAACTAAGATCAGGGCAGAACTGAAGATGATAGAGACACAAAAAACCCTTCAAAAAATCAATGAATCCAGGAGCTTGTTTTTTGAAAAGATCAACAAAATCGATAGACCGCTAGCAAGATTAATAAAGAAGAAAAGAGAGAAGAATCAAATAGACGCAATAAAAAATGATAAAGGGGATATCACCACCAATCCCACAGAAATACAAACTACCATCAGAGAATACTATAAACACCTAAACACAAATAAACTAGAAAATCTAGAAGAAATGGATAAATTCCTGGACACATACACCCTCCCAAGACTAAACCAGGAAGAAGTTAAATCCCTGAATAGACCAATAACAGGCTCTGAAATTGAGGCAATAATTAATAGCCTACCAACCAAAAAAAGTCCAGGACCAGACGAATTCACAGCCGAATTCTACCAGAGGTACAAGAAGGAGCTGGTACCATTCCTTCTGAAACTATTCCAATCAATAGAAAAAGAGGGAATCCTCCCTAACTCATTTTTTGAGGCCAGCATCATCCTGATACCAAAGCCTGGCAGAGACACAACAAAAAAAGAGAATTTTAGACCAATGTCCCTGATGAACGTCAATGCAAAAATCCTCAATAAAATACTGGCAAACTGAATCCAGCAACACATCAAAAAGCTTATCCACCATGATCAAGTGGGCTTCATGCCTGGGATGCAAGGCTGGTTCAACATATACAAATCAATAAATGTAATCCAGCATATAAACAGAACCAAAGACAAAAACCACATGATTATCTCAATAGATGCAGAAAAGGCCTTTGACAACATTCAACAGCCCTTCATGCTAAAAACTCTCAATAAATTAGGTATTGATGGGATGTATCTCAAAATAATAACAGCTATCTATGACAAACCCATAGCCAACATCATACTGAATGGGCAAAAACTGGAAGCATTCCCTTTGAAAACTGGCACAAGACAGGGATGCCCTCTCTCACCACTCCTATTCAACATAGTGTTGGAAGTTCTGGCCAGGGCAACCAGGCAGGAGAAAGAAATAAAGGGTATTCAATTAGGAAAAGAGGAAGTCAAATTGTCCCTGCTTGCAGATGACATCATTGTATATTTAGAAAACCCCATCGTCTCAGCCCCAAATCTCCTTAAGCTGATAAGCAACTTCAGCAAAGTCTCAGGATACAAAATCAATGTACAAAAATCACATGCATTCTTATACACCAATAACAGACAAACAGAGAGCCAAATCATGAGTGAACTCCCATTCACAATTGCTTAAAGAGAATAAAACACCAAGGAATCCAACTTAAAAAGGATGTGAAGGACCTCTTCAAGGAGAACTACAAACCACTGCTCAACGAAATAAAAGAGGACACAAACAAATGGAAGAACATTCATGCTCATGGATAGGAAGAATCAATATGGTGAAAATGGCCATACTGCCCAAGGTAATTTATAGATTTAATGCCATCCCCATCAAGCTACAAATGACTTTCTTCACAGAATTGGAAAAAACTACTTTAAAGTTCATATGGAACCAAAAAAGAGCCCGCATTGCCAAGACAATCCTAAGCCAAAAGAACAAAGCTGGAGGCATCACGCTACCTGACCTCAACCTATACTATAAGGCTACAGTAACCAAAACAGCATGGTACTGGTACCAAAACAGAGATATAGACCAATGGAACAGAACAGAGCCCTCAGAAATAATACCACACATCTACAACTATCTGATCTTTGACAAACCTGACACAAACAAGAAATGGGGAAAGGATTCCCTATTTAATAAATGGTGCTGGGAAAACTGGCTAGCCATATGCAGAAAGCTGAAACTGGATCCCTTCCTTACACCTTATACAAAAATTAATTCAAGATGAATTAAAGACTTAATTGTTAGACCTAAAACCATAAAAACCCTAGAAGAAAACCCAGGCAATACCATTCAGGACATAGGCATGGGCAAGGACTTCATGTCTAAAACACCAAAAGCAATGGCAACAAAAGCCAAAATTGACAAATGGGATCGAATTAAACTAAAGAGCTTCTGCATAGCAAAAGAAACTACCACCAGAGTGAACAGGCAACCTACAGAACGGGAGAAAATTTTTGCAATCTACTCATCTGATAAAGGTCTAATATCCAGAATCTACAAAGAACTCAAACAAACTTACAAGAAAAAAACAAACAACCTCATCAAAAACCGGGCAAAAGGTATGAACAGACATGTCTCAAAAGAAGACTTTTATGCAGCCAACAGACACATGAAAAAAATGCTCATCATCACTGGCCATCAGAGAAATGCAAATCAAAACCACAATGAGATACCATCTCACACCAGTTAGAATGGCAATCATTAAAAAGTCAGGAAACAACAGGTGCTGGAGAGGATGTGGAGAAATAGGAACACTTTTACACTGTTGGTGGGACTGTAAACTAGTTCAACCATTGTGGAAGTCAGTGTGGCAATTCCTCAGGGATCTAGAACTAGAAATACCATTTGACCCAGCCATCCTATTACTGGGTATGTACCCAAAGGATCATAAATCATGCTGCTATAAAGACACATGCACGGCCGGGCGCGGTGGCTCACGCCTGTAATCCCAGCACTTTGGGAGGCCGAGGCGGGCGGATCACGAGGTCAGGAGATCGAGACCATCCTGGCTAACACGGTGAAACCCCGTCTCTACTAAAAATACAAAAAATTAGCCGGGCGAGATGGCGGGCGCCTGTAGTCCCAGCTACTCGGGAGGCTGAGGCAGGAGAATGGCGTGAACCCCAGGGGGCGGAGCCTGCAGTGAGCCGAGATTGCGCCACTGCACTCCAGCCTGGGCGACAGCGAGACTCCGTCTCAAAAAAAAAAAAAAAAAAGACACATGCACACGTATGTTTATTGTGGCACTAGTCACAATAGCAAAGACTTGGAACCAACCCAAATGTCCATCAGTGATAGACTGGATTAAGAAAATGTGGCACATATACACCATGGAATACTATGCAGCCATAAAAAATGATGAGTTCATGTCCTTTGTAGGGACATGGATGAAGCTGGAAACCATCATTCTCAGCAAACAATAGCAAATAATTGCAAGGACAAAAAACCAAACACCGCATGTTCTCACTTAAAGGTGGGAATTGAACAATGAGAACACTCGGACACAGGAAGAGGAACATCATACACCGGGGCCTGTTGTGTGGTGGGGGTAGGGGGGAGGGATAGCATTAGGAGATAAACCTAATGTAAATGACAAGTTAATGGGGGCATCACACCAACATGGCACATGTATACATATGTAACAAACCTGCATGTTGTGCACATGTATCCTAGAACCTAAAGTATACTAATAAAAAAAAAGAAAATATCTTCATTTTATTTCCTTTCTCCTTTATCATGTGACATAAGATTTATCGATTTCACATCAGCATTTAAATATTGTTAACTTTATGTAATAGTATTTGGGTTGGGGATTGGTGCATTTCCCGTTGTACGAAGGATAGTTGTATTATGTTAGGTGCAATTACAACCTTATTATTGTCTTTATTTGAAGATTATGTATGATCTCAGGAGATGTGTATGGGTTCAAGTTGACAAGGGGTGGGCTTGTGATGGTAATACTGAGTTGAGTGTCAACTTGATTGGATTGAAGGATATAAAGTATTTATCCTGGGTGTATCTGTGAGGGTGTTCCCATAGGAGATTAACATTTGAGTCAGTCGGCCGGGAAAGGCAGACCCACCCTTAATGTGGGTGGGCACAATCTAATCAGCTGCCAGCGAAGCTAGAATATAAGCAGACAGAAAAATGTGAAAAGAGAGACTGGCTTAGCTTCCCAGCCTACAATTTTCTCCCATGTTGGATGCTTCCTGCCCTGGAATATCGAACTCCAAGTTCTTCAGTTTTGGAACTCGAACTGATTCTCCTTGTTTCTCACTGGGCAGACAACCTATTGTGGGGCCTTGTGATTACGTGAGTTAATACTTAACAAACTCATATATATATATATATATACTGCTTTAGTTCTGTCCCTTATGTTTAACCCACCTTATGTTTTTGCTTGCTTTGTTGAAGATTAGTTGACTGTAAGTATTTGGCTTTATTCTGGGTTCTCTTTCTGTTCCATTGGTCTGTATGCCTATTTTTATACCAGTACCATGCTGTTTTGGTGACTATTGCCTTACAGTATAGTTTGAAGTCGGGTAATGTGATGCCTCCAGAGTTGTTCTTTTTGCTTAGTCTTGTTTTGGCTATACAGGCTCTTTTTTAATTCCATATGAATTTTATCTCTCACCCCTTCAAACAACTAGGATTATTTTTTATAGTTCTGTGAAGAACGATGATGGTATTTTGGTGGGAATTACATTGAATTTGTAGATTGCTTTTGGCAGTATGGTCTTTTTCACAATATTGATTCTACCCATCCATGAGCATGGGATGTGTTTTCATTTGTTTGTGTTGTCTATGATTTCTTTCAGCAGTGTTTTGTAGTTTTCTTTGTAGAGGTCTTTCACCTCCTTGGTTAGGTATATTCCTAAGTATTTTATCTGTTAATTGTTTTGCAGCTATTATAAATTGGGTTGAGTTCTTGATTTGATTCTCATCTGGGTCACCGTTGGTGTATAGCAGAAGCTACTGATTTGTGTACATTAATTTTATCCTGAAACATTGCTGAATTCATTTATCTGTTCTAAGAGCTTTTTGGATGAGCCTTTAGGGTTTTCTAGGTATATCATCATGTCATCAGAAAAGAGTGACAGTTTGACTTCCTCTTTACTGATTTGGGTGCCCTTTATTTTTTTCTCTTATCTGGTTGCTCTGGCTAGGACTTCCAGTACTACGTTGAATAGAAGTGGTGAAAGTGGGCATCCTTGTGCAAGACATTTTATAGTAATTGAAGAATAGTATGAGAAGAATCTTAATTATGTAATTCAGCCCCCTGTGTTCTCCCTGCCTTTAGTGTCATCCTTACCACCCATTTTACAGATGGGAAAACCAAAGTCTGTGTATACCAGCCCTCTATTCACTGCATGTAATTTGCACAGAGGATAACCTTGCAACCCAGCAGTTGAGAAATGGGGTAAGAATACATGGACATGGCATAGATTAGCTGTTTTAAATTGTGTTTCAAAATGTGCTAGTAATTTGAGAGAGGTACATTACATCCTCTCAAAAAATTACAGTGTTTGAGCCTAGGGCCCTCCTCCCAGCTGGAAAAGAATGTTGGGCTAGAAGAAGACAAACGACCATCTGTTCCTAATTTTTCAGGTGACAAAGGCATTGGGAGATGTGAAACATCCTGATTACAAGTATTGGGCAAAATAGCAGGGGAAAGCTGAGCTTAGATCATTTCTCTCTGGACAGGAATTAAACAGAGAAATAAGCACTGCTAGAGTAAATTTGGGATTTGGGTTCTAGCCCCAGGTCTGGTTACGGAGCAAGTCACTGTGGGGAAAGGCTCCTTCACTGGAGCCCTCTTCAGCGGGAGAGAGCAGCCAGCCTCTGCCTCTCTCATCCTCATGGGGTGATCTGGAGAACCAATAAATTATCCCATGGAAGGTGCTTTGGAAAATACAATTTTAAGTGCTAAAGGAATGTTGTGAATGTTCAAGCATGGACAGTCCATGACAAATCCTGGAGGTGACCGTCCTGGCCAGCTGCGAGTGGCACTAGCAGTAAAGAAGTGAGGAAATATGTTGACTTAGTTTTAGGGCCCAGAGGTCTAGAAAACAAAGCCTGAACCTGCAGATGGAAGTCAAAAAGCTTCAGGTGTGGGCAAGGTTAGGCCAAAACCACATGAATGAAACTCTCACATGGCGGCCAAGCATGTGACTCTAGAGAGGCCACCTAAGTTTAAATCCCCGCCCCACTACTGACTAGCTGTGGGATCTTGAGCATGTCATTAACCATGGGCTTTTGTTTCCTCATCTGCAAGACAGGAATTATCACACCTTCTTCCTAGGGTGGAGAGGACTGAATAATTTTTGTGAGGTGTTTGATGCAAGCACATACCCAATTTAAGAGTGTGGGCTCTGGAGCCAGAATGCTTGTGTTTAAATCCTTGCTATAATACTTTCTAGCTATACCATATCAGGCAAGTTACAGCTTCTCTGTGCCTCAGTTTTCCCATCTATAACATGAGGATAAGAGTGTTAGCTCCCTTATAAGGGTGTTGTGAGGATTAAATGAGTTAATCCATATAAATATTTAGGCCTGGCATATAATAAGCCCTCAATAAATGGAGTTTTTACATAATTGTATTAGGTCATTCTTGTGTTGCTATAAAGGAGTACCTGAGACTGGGTAATTTATTAAAAAAAGAGGCTTACTTGACTCATGGTTCTGCAGGCATTACGGGAAGCACAGTTTTGGCATTTGCTCAGCTTCTAGGGAGGCCTCAGGAGGCTTATAATCTTGGCAGAAGGTGAAGGGGGAGCAGACACATCAAATGGCAAAAGCAGGAGCAAGAGACAGAGTGAAGGGAAAGGTGCCACACACTTTTAAATGACCAGATCTTTCAAGGACTCACTATCTTGAAGACAGCACCAAACCATTAAGGATCCACTCTCATGACCCAAACATCTCCCACCAGGCTCCATCTCCAGAATTGAGGGTTAAAATTCAACAAGAGATTTGGGCAGGGACAAATATCCAAACTATATCAATGATCATATTTATTATAATTTTTGGTTTTTGGTGTTTTTTTAGAGACAGGGTCTCCCTCCATCTCCCAGGCTGGAGTGCAGTGGCACAATCATAGCTCACTGCAGCCTCCAACTCCTGGGCTCAAGGGATCCTCCCGCCTCAGCCTTCCAAGTAGCTAGGACTCAGGTGTATACCATCACACCTGGCTGGTTTTTAAAAAAAACTTTACATGGAGACGTGGTCTCACTATTTTCCCCAGGCTGATCTCAATCTCCTGGCCTCAAGCAATCCTCCTGCCTCAGCCTCTGAAAGTGCTGGGATTACAGGCATGAGCCACCATGCCTGACCTCATTATAATTAATTATTATTACTGAATGTACTTTGATACTGAGTCAGAATCCTCAAATATTTTCAGACCTGCATAAAACCTAAAGGGAGAGCAAACTCCCAGCACCCATGCAAGAGTTGGCTCACTAATACTTTAAGTGCATGTTATTGCTCTAAACAAATAGAAGCTGTCTCTGAGTTTGGATATCAGTGGACTTGAACACATATTAGGATAATCTCTTAACTATGTCTGATAAGTATTCATTGTGGTATAAATCCGTGTTGCAATGAAGGGCCCTAGTAACCATTCCCTGGGCTACTGAGCCTCCGTATGGTTACAGCATCCAGGAAGCTGGAGAAGTTGCTGGAATGTGGCTGATTCCCCAGTCATCCCACCTCTGTTCACAATCATTCCATATTACAAAAATAACACAACTTTGTTATTTTTGGTTCCTCACACCTAACACAAGTCCTGGCGTGCAGTATGTGCTCCATAAATGTGATAAATTAATGAGTGAAGCATTAGTAAAAAGATTGAATAAGGAATAAACACTCTCCTTGATTATTGAGAAGGGGAAAGTGGTCTCACAACTCATGTGGCTTGGGCTGTGGGACACCCTGAGTATTCACTGGTGGCCAGAAGAAAAAAGAAGAGTGGTTCTTAGAGAAGAATGATTCTGGAAGGATGGTAACCAGATATGCCAGAAGTCCATATTGCAATATCCTGGGGATTTTTCCAAACTTTTGTTCAACTAAGATGGATTCTGATACCCAGGTGAAGTGGACATAGAAGTAGAGGTCCCTGGGGAGAAGGCCATGGTGGCTATCAGGTAGTCGTAGTCCTTTTGTTTCACCATGACCTAACCAGTGCTTGGGGACAGGGCATAAAGAGGGCATGGCTGGAGGATTTGTGGGAGGTACAGAGGGGAAGAGCAGGACTGGACACTTGGTAGGGCTGCTGCTCAACAGGATGTGAATTTGGCAGGCCCTGGTCAAAGTGGAGAATGGGAAGCAAAGCAGCAAGCATTTATTGAATTTCCACTTTGTGCCAAGAACTATGTGCTGTTCATATATCATCTCTCTTAATTCTATTCTTAATCCCCATTTTTTAGAAGAGAAAAGTAACTTCAAAGTAATTAAGCATTTCTCCTAGATCACACAGGTTCAAACTGACCAGTACGAGATTCAATTTCTGGTTCATTTTGATTTCAGAGCCCTTGAAAATTTCAGGAAACTTTGCTCCTCTCCAGGCTTGTGTCCTAGGTAATCAAGGTAGCTATAGATTAGGAGGGAAGACTGCAGCTTTCTGGGCAGGCAGATATCTAGACTAGAACCCCAGACCCCAGGTCACAAAGTACATGCCAGATCCCACCTGTTGGTGGGGTTCTTCCTATTGGGTAGTGCCCACTGGTTGGCTTGGCTCAAGAACTGGGCATAGCAGAATCCACAGGTGGCAGGGATCAGGGCCTCCTGGGTAGCTCCTGGAAACACAATCACACAGCCCTAATCTTTAGGACTGATGGGCAGGGCCTGCCTTTCTTTCTTTCTGATTCAATCTCTATTTCCTCATCCATATAAAAGATACCTTATAGAGAAGGAAAAGGAGGAGATGAAATGAACTAATTAGAGGTTGTTGTTAACCTTCTATCAATATTTACATAAATGGATGAAACTGCTGGCCTCATTGCTGGGTCTCCCCAATATGATTACAAGCCTGGCAGAGAACAGGGAACAGGGTGAAGGGAGCACCAGGAACTGAGTGGCTTTCAGCGGGCACCTTGCAAATAGTCCTGTGATCTTATGCAAATTTTTAACCTTGCTGGGCTTCAGTCAAATATTCTATAAAAAAGACTCACAAACAAAAATGTAAATGATGCCTTTTAAACCTGATGAAGAAGCAACATAAATGTTGAATAGTGTTAATAGTACCTTTAAATTGATCATAAAAATTCTACATCTATTTAGTTGCCAAAATGCTTCTGCATACATTGCTGTAGCAAAATCTCCTAAAAGCCCTGCGATGTGGGCTAGAAGGTGCAATTCTCAACCTCATAGACTGGAAAACCAAGTCTCTGAGAGAATACACTTGGTCCCACATCGAAAAGTTGAAAACAGAGCTGAAAGCAGATACTAGAGAATTGGAGTCACATGATGTAGAAAATGCAAATGGCACCAGATGAAACATAGCTTCAGAACAGTTCAATGAAAATGATAAGACAGTGAAATGTTGCTATGTCATTATAGAAATGAAAAAACAGAGCTTCAGAGAGGTTAAGAAACTAGTGCCAAAATACAGTACTGTACTGGGGCTGAGCTATGAACCTAAGACTGTCTAATCCCCTCAAACTTTATGTTTATTTCCTTAGCCAGGCTGCAGACTGTAAGCCATTCTTTAATTTAGCAAGTCATTATTGAGTTCTCTTATATGCCAAGTTCTGACCTATACCCTGGAGAAACAACAATGAACAGAGTCTCTGCTCTCATGAAGTTGATATACTGATAATTAATAAGCAAGGAGGAATTGTACCTAGGTGGCATTACGGCTTGAATTAGGTTCACCCCCCAAAAAATATGTTGCTGTCTTAACCCCTAGTACTTCAGAATGCAAGCTTATTTGGACATAAATTCATTCCAGATGTAATTACAGGCAGTCCCCAACTTAAAATAGTTCAATTTATGATTTTTTTGACCCTATGATTGTTAAACCAATGCACATTCAGTAGAAATCGTACTTCACATTTTAGATTTTGATCTTTTATTTTTATTATTTTTATTTTTTAATCATAATATTTTTAGTTTCATTATTATAAACTAGAATTGTGTTAGATGATTTTGTCCAACTGTAATGTAATGTTCTGAGCACACATAAGGTAGACCAGGCTAAGCTATGAGATTTGGTAGGTTAGGTGTACTAAATGCATTTTCAACTGACGATATCTTCAACTTACTATACAATGGGCTTATTGGGATAAAACCCCATTGTGAGTCAAAAAGAAGCTGTACTTAAGTTGAGATGAGGTTATACTGGAGTAGGCTGGGCCATTAATCCAATATGACTGCTGTCCTTATAAGAAGAAGACAGAGACTCAGGGAGAAGACGACCATGTGAAGGAAGAGATAGAAATTGGAATGGTGCATTTACAAGGAACACTAAGGATTGCTGGCAAATGCAGAATTTAGGAAGAGACAAGGAAGGATTATCTCCTACAAGTTTCAGAGGGAGTGTGACCCTGTCCACACCTCGATTTTGGATTTTTTGGCCTCCGGAACTGTGAGATGATAGATTTCTGTTGTTTTAAGATTCAATTTGAGGTACTTTTAAAATAGCAGCCCTAGGAAACTAATACAGGTGGTGATATATACTGCCTACAGCAATGAAACAAACAATAATACAAATTTAAAAATTCCAAAAAACCAAGTCTGCTTTTCTGAGACGGGTGGAAGACTGACAAAGACACTAAGACTTGGGGCTTCCTAGCTTCCTATGAGCAATATATGCCCTCGGCCGCTTGCCACATGTTTGCCTTACAGGCTCTCTTCCCCACCCTGCAGGCTTATCTACTGTGGCTGCTTCCCAGCTCACCTCTACGTGAACCTGACTTGAAAGGGTTTACTAAGCAAATTAATAATGTAAACAAGATTGCAGCTAGCACCTTCCGTGCAGGAGCAGTGGTGAAGGCCTACTGCACAATAATTGTCTGCATACAAATGGATGCTGCAGCTGGAAATGAGTCTGTAATGCTCGGGAAAGCAGGCCATCAGGGCTTCTGATGGGGGACACTTTGGTACCCATTCAGATAATTTTTGCTATTACACGAATCAAGGCAAATCCACAAAGTGCTTTATAACTTACAATACTGTGTTTATCAGCTAGGCTTTTCATTTCCTCCTCGTAACAGCTCAGAAAGATGGGTATTAGAAAAGTTCCCATTTTATAGATAAAGACATTGAAGCTTGGAGAGGTTGGGAAACTAGTTGGAGACTCCATGTTTGACAGGCTGGGACCTCTAACCCTCGTGATCTGGTGTGTGGCTGGAGGCTTCCTAAAAAAAAAAAAACAGGCCTTTTCAAAATTCAGTTGTTCACAGCCTTTTAATAATACCCAACCTTTAATTGATTACCGAACACTAAAAATTCATTTTATCATTTAGTTCTCACTATAAACTATGTGGTAGGTATTGTTACTCCCATAAAGAAACAGGCTCAGAGAGGTTGTAACACTTTCCTAAGGCCACATGTGTGGGTGGCGAGAACCAACTGAAGCCAAATGCCAGCTCTCATCAACCCATATCTTAATCCACTCTAGGGGGAGGGGTGGCTGTTAAAAATGCAGATTCCTGAGCTCCACAAAACCTGCTGAATCCAAATTTCTGAGGGCAGACTCTGGATTGTTCATACTTAGTATGTTCCCTAGTGATCTGATGCTGCCATTCTCTTGAAAATGCCATTTTGCATCCTCTTTTAGTCCAGCTTAGGGCTCCTTGACATCGCCTTCCCTAAGTTCTTTCTAGAAACTGGACATGACCTGAAAATGTGCTCCAATGAGCAGAGGAAATATAAAACAGCTGGTTCTGAAGCCAACACATCTCCACATGAAGGCTGAAGAGTGTCCCCAGCTGGGGTCAACAGAGGTGCCACCTCCACTGCCACCACCAGGCAGCCACTGGGCTGAGGTGCCTGTCAGTGAGTGGAGAAAGCCCTTTGGGACTCCATTCTGGCATTTTCATTTATCATGCGAATGAAAGAAGTTAAATTAGGTCATGCCAGGGACTCGTAAATCAAAATTGTGCCAGAGGGTTCTTCCATGGCCATAGCAGGGAGCTGTGCTGAGGGATCTTCAGATGCATCTATTTTTGAATTTTCTATCAAACCAAGGAGCTTCTGGTACCAGGCTTCTTTGGCATGAAGCATGTCCACTGTGCAGGTCTTGGATCTGCAGAGATGATTCATAGCCAGGCCAAAGCTTCTGGCACTGCTAAATCCAGACAGGGGAGCACCAAGTGCTTACCCTATGAGTTCAGTGAAAAAAGCTTCATGGGCTTTGGAGTTACAGGCTTACCTGGATTAGATCTAACTAATGCTTACTGCACAGGGCACTGATCCAGGCTGGACACTTATCTTCATAGAACTTATGTTCCAGAGGGCACACGCCTGGCCTCTGCCACTTATAAACTAGGGGACATAGGACAAATCCCTTAACATCTCTGAATCTCAACTCATCTATCTGAGCTCTTTTCACTGACACTTTGCAGGTGCTCAGTATATGCCACATACGATTCCATAAGTAAATTCCTCGTGTTTGCCAATGGGAGGATGCATTAGAGATATAGATAAGTAGTCCAAGGTTGACTTATACTACTTAATGTATTAATTTAGTTACACATTCATTTGCTACACATGCATTCACTTCTGGTAGGAGGGTTCATGTGGATTTGCATCTGTTCTTTCCCTTGAGCCTAGGACTAAATGTCTGACTTCCTTTCTAATTCTCTGAAGTGAGACAGTCAAGCCCTTTGCACACAGTCAGCATTTGCTACCTGCTGCTGAATCATTGCCTGAATACATGAATAATTTGCTATGAAAGGAGTTGGTCTTCATTCAAAGCTCCAGCTACTTTGGATGAATTGGATTTCCAAATAAAGAAAAACTAGCACCTCCAAGAAGCAGGGGGTCAGATATGGTCACCATCACATATAAAGATCCCACAGAGTTTTAGAAATGGGCTTGAGGTTGGACCCACCTGAAACTTGTGGGCTGCTGCAACTGCTGTCACCCACATCAGTGAGGAATAACTGGGTGTTTAATAAGTTCAAGCAAGCCAGGGACTGAGAGCTAAAGTATAGAATATTTGTTTTAGTTTTAGCAGGTTGTTCTCTTTTCCCTATCCATCATAATGAAGGTTCCTTAAATGTTGGTTTCCTTGTTCTGTGATAGACATTGGGCTTTGAAGAGAAACTCAGCAGAGTTCAAATCTTACCCTATCACTTGCTGGCCTTCAGACCCTGGGAGTACAGGGTACTCTCAGATTTCCCTGTAAATCAGGTGCTATAACAATATTCACTCCCTAGGACTACTGTGAAGGTTAACTGAGGGGAAGCCTATGAAAGCACTTTGTAAACTATGGCTTTATGTGGATCTAATTAACATGACTATTTTTATTCCCTTAGTGATCTCTATTTTCTTTTCTTCTTAACAATTACAGACTCGTGGGTTTGAAGGAGAGCAGGTTCATAGGCTGCCTAGTCAGAATTAACTAGAGAGCTGGTTAAAATTCAGACTCCCTAGGGGCTACCTTAAACCCACTGAATCAGACCTGGGGAGAGCAGAGAGGACAGTGGGAACCTGTGGTGTATAACGCAGCAAGCTTTGAGAAACATTGACCTAGTCTCTTAATATGTGCAACCTCTGCAACATCCCTGGAAAGTGGTGTTTTAATCATATTACCTTGGTGAGGTATGGTAAAACCAGGCGCAGGTCAAAAGAGAGACATCAGGAAAGCTCAGAGGTTTCATTACACTCACAGTTCTCTGAGGAAAACATAGCCTACCATGCAGGGCCACTCAAAGAAGTGTCAGGGTTGGTCACAGAGAGAGTGAGAGGGGGACTATGGCAAGAGACTTCATTGTGGTTTCTGAGGTAAGGAAAGGGCAAGGCAGGGCACACAGGGTTAGGATTGGCTAGTTTGGGTAATTCCAACGTGCTCTGTAGCACAGCGGCTGTCCCTAGTTGTCTGACACCTGGCCCTGGGGTGGTTAGGGTGGGTGGGTAGTGGCTCAAAGTGTGGGAACCCAGTAAGAGAAGAGGTTGGGATTGCAGACTTCATCGGCTTCTCAAGAAGGAAAACTGAGCAGCTTCTAGCCTGGGTCTCAAAACTATGACTGCGCACACATATACAAAAACCACAACAATAAGGCTATATTACAAATGGTCATCCCATTCTGCTTGTACATCTCCGGGGAGACAAAGCTTCCTGCCTTACCAGGCAGCCCCATCCATGTCTGGCCAACCGACTGTGACAATCTGGTTCCTGATACCACCTGACACCTGTCCTCCTGCAGCTTCTACTCCTTGGTCGTGGCTTCCTTTATTAGGGACACATGAACCAATCTCATCCTTCTTTCACATGATACCAGCACTTCCAGCATTTGAAATCAGGATCTTCTCCATCCTTGGGTTTGCCAGCAGGTCTTTATTTAACAGGAATTCAAGTCTCCTCTCCTCTTTTTCCTTCTCCTTGATCTCCCTTGTCTGAGCAGGGAAGGGTAAAGGCTTGAGAAGATGCTAAGACCATACAGGGACTTAGCCATGGAATTTGGACTAATGATAATTATAATAATTGCAGCTACTCGTCACGGAGCAACAATCACACTTCAAGCATCAGATCAGTGCTTTACAGACAACTAATCTCATCCTCATAATAATCTTATAATTTGGGTATGATTGTATCCAGTATACAAATGGGTTAGTTGAGGTTCAGGGTGGAGGTGAACAGACTTGCCCATGGTCACTTGGCCAGTACCCCAAGAACTGGCACTGGAATGCAGGGCTGCCTGGCTGAGTTCAGATAAGGGTACCTGCCATTTCCCAACCCAGCCCTATTGGGCACCAAGAGGACAGGAATGAGAAAATTAGATGCTAAGCCAAAGCAAGAGGCCTGTCTACTGACCTGTGTGTGGGGCCCTCTCTGGGCCTCCTCTTTGGAGATGCCTCAGAGACTCAAATACCTGCTGGTTTTATCTGTGAGGCTGGTGGAACTCCTTGTCAAACATCCAGGCATATTTTTGTCACTTTAAGAAATCAAGACAATTTCTTCACTTGACAAAGGTAAAATCTTTTAAAGCTTTGGAGGATTGGGAAAGGGAATAAGAAAGACATTAATAGAATGACATATTTTTAGTGTAACACTTCAGAGAAAAACTCTAGGGGAACAAAAAATAAAATGAGCGACCTAAATATGGTTCTTTAAAATTTTTTTAAAAATACTATGAGCTTCAAAGGAGTGGGCTGTGCTGGATATTTGCATGCCCCAAATCTGTAAAGGATTTGAATACAATGGAAAGTCCATGGGTGAAGACTCTCCTTTAGTCTGGTAAATTGTGCCACCCCTAATGTTGGGTTGACTACTTGCGAGCTGAGTGACCGGACAAAATACTAAACCTCTCTCGTTCTCAGTTTCATAATCTGTAAGATAAAGATGGTGGCACTGACCTCATTGAATTGTGGTGAGATATACATGAAATCATTTATGTGTGAAATACACGAAATATTTATACACAACTATAATAATATGGTCCTATATACCACATTATATATTATATAACATATACTATATAATAAATCTAATATATTATTATATAATATATATTATATGTGTTAGATTAATTATTATGTATTTTCAGGTTATTTTATTTGAAAATAGAACACATGGCTCATTTAGGAAGATTATTAAAATATCTTCTGCTGCTTTTGCTAAGTTTCTGAGAAATAGGCCGTCTTAGCCTGAGCTGCTATAACAACATACCATAGACTGGGCAGCTTAAACAGGAATTTATTTCTCATAGTTTTTGAGGCTGGGAAGTCCAAGATCAAGATGCCAGCAGATTTGGTTCCTGGTGAGGACTGTCTTCTTGGCTTGTAGACAATCACCTTCTTGTGTAGCCTCCCATGGAACAGAGAGAGGAAGCTCTGGTCTCTTCCTACTCTTAAAAGGGCACTAATCTTACCATGGGACTCTACCCTCAATGACCTCATTTAAAGCTATTCACCTCCTGTATTAGTCCATTTTCACACTGATATAAAGATACCACCTGAGCCTGGATAGTTTATAAACAAAAGAGGGTTAATTGACTCACAGTTCCATGTGGCTGCGGAGGCTTCACAATCATGGAAGAAGGCAAACGGGAAGCAAGGCACATCTTACAGAGTGGCAGGAGAGAGAGAAAAATCAGAAGGAAGCTCCAGACATTTATCAAACAACCAGGTCTTGTGAGAACTCACTATCATGAGAACAGCAAGGGAGAAATCCGCTCCCATGATCCAATCACCTCCCACCAGGTCCCTCCCTTGACACGTGGGGATTACAATTCAAGATGAGATTTGGGTGGGGACATGGAGCTAAACTAGATCACTTCCCAAAGACATTTCCAAACATCATCACACTGGGGATTAGAGCTTCAACATATGAATTTAGGGAACAGGAGGATACACAAACTTTCAATCCATAGCATGGGCAAATAGGTTCACAAACAACTGTTATGAGCTGATAGGAGCCTCCTCCTCATGGGTGCTGGATGTGGCAGCTGAGGATTCAGGAGAGCTGGATCCTGTTTCCCGCTCCACAGGGTCCGATGCCACTCCAACAGCATCACAGTCCCTGTCTCATGACAAGATCCTGACTTGGTTTAGATAACCTATAACAACATGCTCAGGGAAGGTGGGTTCAACCCACAGGGTGGATCATGATTGGCCAAAGCAACCAGGATAGTCTCATTCCTTCTTGCAGGTGACTGGTTAAGCAGTGCGCCTATGACCCAGTTTTGGTCATTGAGACAAAATGGGGCTTCAGGAAAAGACTTCCAGTTCTGATGAAAATCCCTTTTCTTCCCTATATGCTGGAATGTGAGGACGGAATGTGAAGCAGGGCTGCCTTTTTGTGACTATGAGAGGAAAAACAAAGAGAATTGGAGAAGTGAACTCAGAGCACTGAAATTATTGAACTGCTGAGTTAGCAGAAGCTGGAACTGCCTACCCTACAGTTCTAGTTATGTTTACATAATAAACCCCAGTGTTTTCAGCTACTTTTATCCAGGTCATTTGTTACCAGGAGCCAAAAGCATCCTAAAGCATACATGTACAAACTTACTTTGGGACTCTAGACACATGCCCTCTCTGAGCCTCGGTTTCTTGTTTTTTTTCTTTTCTTTTTTTTTTTTTTTTGATGGAATCTCGCCCTGTAGCCCAGGCTGGAGTGCAGTGGTGCGATCTCAGCTCACTGACACCTCTGCCTCCCAGGTTCAAGCAATTCTCCTGCCTCAGCCTCCCAAGTAGCTGGGACTACACGCGCGCGCCAATATGCCCAGCTAATTTTTGTATTTTTAGTACAGATGGGGTTTCACCACGTTGGCCAAGAGGGTCTCCATCTCCTGACCTTGTGATCCGCCTGCCTCAGCCTCCCAAAGTGCTGGGATTACAGGCCTGAGCCACCACGCCCGGCCCAGTTTCCTCTTACATTAAATGATGGGATTGGATTTCTGTTGGCAAACCAGTAGCCCATGGGCCAGATTCAGCTTAGCAGTGATGTTTGGGTTTCCCTGTGCATCAAACAAATCATATGTATCTAGAAAATGTGACTCCTGTACTTTCCAAATTTCTTCCAATTGCCCTCATGAGCCTCACATGGGATAGTGGTGGAAAAATGAATCTTGTCAGGTAATCATATCTCCATCTTCTCTGGTACAAGAATCTCTTAGAGACCTTGGTTCTTCTCTGGAAATGCTCCTGGTTAGGGGTGAAGAAGTGGGGCTTACATGCCATTGCGGCCTTAGGGCTATGCTGTTTTCTCTAGATCTGCTATAGAATCTGTTAAAGTGAACTAAATATGGCCTGAGAAGGACTCCGTACTTCTCTATTTGAGTCCTTGTGGACGAACTGCAACCTAGCTTAATAGGTAGAGAAGACTGAAAACCTAACTTAGGAGTATGCGCCTGTAACAATAGCTGAGTCTTGGCCAGTCCCAGTGGCTATACTTCAGCCACTCATAAACTGTTGA